>NC_000003.12:172341937-172493452 GCF_000001405.40 Homo sapiens
ACACTCAGAAAAGTGAATGAGAAACGAGATGCCAAAAGATACTTTCACTGTAGAGATATTTAACATTATGATTTGAAACCACTAAACATTTAAAATGAAAGAGAAGGAGAGATGGTGGCTTACAGCCCTGTGCTGGGTTGACTTTTCAAGAGAATACCTGCCATTTGAAGGCCTAACTTTTCTAGTCAACCCACTTGCAACATCAGTTTTTGTGTTTACTTTCTTTTGCCCCCAAGGATGGTACTAGGGCATCTAGACTGCCCATGTAGACACTGCCTGTGAGGAGAAGGTCCAGCTGGACCATCTTTATACAGTGCCGAAGCTGTCTGGAATGCCTCCCAGGTGGAGTAAATCCAAATCAAAGCTGAGATTATCAGTGGTCCTTCCTATGTGTGAGGCACTACACAAGGTGGCACTGAGGCTGAACTGCTCAAATGCATAGAGTTCATTTCCTCTGTGCCACTTCTCAGGAAGAAAACTGAATGTGGCTGAGCTGTATAGCTCTACCTGATTTTCTCCCGTCTCAGGAAGTAGGTCAGCTTCCATACCACTAGCCTTACGCAACCAGATCCTGCAAAATAAAGGACTGCTTATTTTAGCATTAACAGTACCTGCTGGTTGATGTCAGAATCAATTGATTAATATTGAGTTTATTTGCTTTTCTGCTCTGTATGTGAGTGGTTGGCCATTTATGGTACCATTTTAAAATTTCATCCAGCTGTCGTTTTGTGTTCTCTTCTGTCCTCATGAAGGGTCTTTCTAATTTTGATTTGAAGGAAAAGAATTGTGTGCTTAGGATATACAGTACTCATGTCTGCTAATCTAACTTCAAAAATAATCATTCTTGTTTTTCCCAGTGCCATATGAAGTCTATAGCCACCCTTAAAACACACACACATAAATTTATATGAAGATCTTAATTACATTAAAAGCATACCATAATGTGCACACATTTAGTGTGTAACCCCTTTTCGGTAACATTTGCAGTTATGGGGTGGAATTTGCCTGATATGTAGAGGTCTGATAAATTCACAGTAACTAAGAGATGGTTCTCTCTGGTGTTTCTCCTGCAGTGTTCTGAAAGTCTCCCTGTTCGCACACTAAGCATTGCACCAGGTCAATGTCGACCACCGAGGGTTTTGGGTAGACCAAAGCACAAAGAAGTCCACTTAGAGTGGGGTGAGTGAACTAACCTTCACATTGACATTGACAATTTGGACAATTGGAGATGAAGACTTATGCTTTGTAGTTAAGTTTCAAAGCTTTCTTCTAAAGACCATATACGTTTTTGTCTGTTGAGGATGTCCATATTCTTCTTGAAGTATGTTGACCCAGGTTTTTTATGTGTGTCATTCCCCCCATCCACACCCGCAACACTGTCCCTCACCTTCCTCTTCCTGATGGTGCCACACACATGGTTTATCCCCCGCACTTCAGGGGACACATTTCTAGGGAGTATTTCAAGAACAGCCAGTCTTTTTCAGAAAGTTTTCAACTTTATTCATGGGAAAAAAATTTTGTGCTCCATTTAGAATTTAAACCAAAGAATGGTTTATAAGATCACATGGAATTCTTTCTCGTCTTTGTTTGCAACCACCTCTGCTGCATTGTCCTGTGTGGGTCCTGATGTTTTTACAGCATTGATTTAAGCTGTATTAGCGTTTCCTGTTGTGTCCAGCAGTTTACAACATGTATAATTACAAGTACAAATGTACAGAACTCTCTAGCAGACTATTTTTTCCTACCACTTATGTCTAAAGTATAATAAATTGTGCCAATTTGGGGTCCTGTATTTTGATTTAGCATGACCTTTGGTTTCCAATTAAAGAGATTTTTCTTCCCTCTTTTTCTTCCATTTACCTAGCATTAGAATATGAAGAAATATATCTAATGTTCCTATAATTTTGGGATTATTTTATCAATGTAATTAAATAAACTTCAGTGGACCCGCTTTGGAGAGTATGGATAACATCATTCAGAAACTTTTATTTTTATATCTCTTTTTTGGTGGGCATGGATTCTTTTGTAAGGGAGATACTGAGGCCGGCCACCTATGTGATATTTTGCTCAACTTGTGTGAAATCTGGTGCACTTTGGTCAACTGGAAGCACAAAGTGTTCTAAGATGAAAAAAATTCTTCATTCCCAGATGTTCCTGCATCGGAAAGTGGCTGTGAGGTCTCAGAGTACAGCGTGGAGATGACGGAGCCCGAAGACGTAGCCTCGGAAGTGTACCATGGCCCAGAGCTGGAGTGCACCGTCGGCAACCTGCTTCCTGGAACCGTGTATCGCTTCCGGGTGAGGGCTCTGAATGATGGAGGGGTGAGTATAAGCCCATACACCATAACCAGAATCAGAATGCATAATCAGAACCCAAAGTGCTAGCACTTCTGTCTCTAGCCTCCTGAAATTTTTGACAGTCTTGATGCAACCTTGACAACCATTAATGCAGTGTCTGTAAATCTTAATTCTGAGTTGATATTGTTGTGATTTCATATAGACCCAGCATTAGAAGTTTTCTGTTTCTTTTGTCCTCATATCATTCTATGAAGACAGCACTCAAGGTTAATAAGGATATCACCCTGTAGATATTTTCGACAGTTTTTGGAAAATTTCCTATTCTATTGACTTTATCAGTTCAGGGAAATTAGGATTAGATAATAGTTCTAATAAAAGTTTTATACTGTCTTGTCTAAATGAACCAGCAACATCTTAGGTCAGTTTTTACAACTAGAGAAGGGTAGTGGCCAGGGACACCAGCTTGTTTTTGTTTTGTTTCACGTGAAAACTACAGGACTCTCTCCTTCTATTGCTCCATTTGGAGTTGTCAAGTTGAGCTATCAAAAATTGAGAATATATATGTCTATGTTATATCCATAAAGGTTGTTGTCCTTTTTTTCTTTGAAATTGCCAAATGATGTGGATTTAGGGGGAGATGAATAATGAGCAGTGGGAGTCCCAGTAACTGTGAGGCTTTTGGGTGGGCTCAGAGATTGATGAAGCATAAAAGGGCAGAAGCGTGTGGGTAAAGCCAGCTAAATGCCCCGTCCAAAGTGCCAGTGGTTTGTGTAGATGGGCTCCATGCAAATAAATAGAATTAATTAATTGATGATTTTTTAAAAAAATAAGACAGCCCAACTTGCAGTGACTTTTTGTTTTAAGTGAAAGCAAGTTTATTAAGAAAGTAAAGGAATAAAAGAAGGGCTATTCCTTAGGCAGAGTGCCCAAAACTGGATTTCTCCTAATTCTCCAATAGAAAAGAATTTCAGACACAACAATGATACTTAAGTGAAAACAAAAAAGTCTGAACATTAACGCCTATGTACCTGAACTTATAATCATGTAAGCGAAAAGAAGATGGATAGTGATGAGCACACTGTTGTGTCTACCCCATTCTCTCATCAACTTTTCAGTTACTATCTGCCACAACAAAGATAAATGTGCAACTGGGCTGGTGTGAGCTGTACTTTTCTCAGCCCTTTCACTGATTTATCCTATAAAGAAACTATCTTCAGCTTGGGTTTATTCCTGTTGTATTAGAAATTAACCATATATATCGCTGTAGTCACCTTCTGAGGTCCATTTCAGAGAGCTTCCCCAACTCCCCAGCATCTTTGCATGTTATGTTGAGAGGTGGTTTTTTGTTTCCCCCCTCCCCGCCGTCTTTTTTCTCTCATTTTGACAAGGACAGTCATATATTTTGTTAGCCTGGCAAGTTTTTACTCTGCTCCAAACCTTTGAAGTATCAAATATGCCACCATTAAAATGGGTGGTTCAGGTGGCTGTGACTCTCTCAAAGTGTGGTAAGTC
Organism: Homo sapiens; assembly: GCF_000001405.40. Lineage (NCBI taxonomy): Eukaryota > Metazoa > Chordata > Mammalia > Primates > Hominidae > Homo > Homo sapiens. Next base: position 172,345,747 of record NC_000003.12, read on the forward strand.
TCTAGCAATTCCTGGCTCTGAGCAGTGTGGTCACTGATGGTAACATCAGGATTGCCGTGGATACCCTTGAATAGGTGAGGTGATGGGAACACACTGAGAAAACATTACAGAAGCATTTATTTTCAAAATGGAAAATACCGGTAACTAGAAGAAATACCTAGAATTTGATCACCAACAATTCCAAGTATATTTTTATTCATTAAAAATTAAACTGCAGTGGGCATCTGACTTAGTTTTCTTGGATGTCCTCTGAGAAATATGAAAGCAGATTGCCCTGTTTTGTCAAAAATCAGCATATTTTTATTTCATGTCCCAAGAAAGGGAAAATATTTTGTCAACCAACTAATTATTTTACAATTAAAAAAATGACAGACATCTACTACTCAGGGACTGTATATAGGAGAAAAACTTACACACATTGAATTGAAAGTGAAAATCATTGGGTAATATTTGTTAATTAGTTGTGTTGATGATGATGTTAGCCTAGCTTTTATTTGGTTATAAGCTTTTGTATGCACACACATTCACAAACACATACACGCATATATACATACGTGTGTGTGCGTGTGTTTTCTTTCAGTATGGTCCCTATTCTGATGTCTCAGAAATTACCACTGCTGCAGGGCCTCCTGGACAATGCAAAGCACCTTGTATTTCTTGTACACCTGATGGATGTGTCTTAGTGGGTTGGGAGGTAAGTCAGGCATATTCTGCATCAACTTCTGTTTCTTCTACTTTACTCCCAAATACAAATACCAATTATAAGGAAGCTGCAAATCCAAAATGCACATATAGATGATTTTTTTTTTTTTTTTGCTCTGTGTACTATAGTAATCACCCTTGGCACTTGCCACTTGCTTATATTATTTAGGGTTGTGGAAGTTTTACTGTAGTCAAAACTGAGAGGAAATGGTTTCTCATGCCTTTCTTTTTGTAAAAAATTTTATTTTATTTTACTTATTTTATTTTTTTGTGTGACAGAGTTTCAATCTTGTCACCCAGGCTGGAGGGCAGTGGCACAATCTCGGCTCACTGCAACCTCTGCCTCCCTGGTTCAAGTGATTCTCCTGCCTCAGCCTCCTGAGTAGCTGGGATTACAGGTGCCCACCACCATGCCTGGCTAGTTTTTGTACTTTTAGTAGAGATAGGGTTTCACTGTGTTGGCCAGGCTGGTCTCGAACTCCTTATCTTAGGCAATCCACCCACCTCAGCCTCCCAAAGTGCTGGGATTACAGGCATGAGCCGCCGCACCTGGCCCTATTTTATTTTTAAATTTCTAAATCTCAAAAAAAATTTTGTGGGTACATAGTAGGTATATATATTTGTGATCGTGCCTTTCTTTTATATGTATTTGAAATATTCTGGGGCATGTTGCTCTCTTTCCCATTTTAGTTAATTGAATACAAGCACAGTAGGATTCTCTTCTCAGTGGCATTATTAACTACTTCCATTTCTGCCTTTCCAGAGTCCTGATAGTTCTGGTGCTGACATCTCAGAGTACAGGTTGGAATGGGGAGAAGATGAAGAATCCTTAGAACTCATTTATCATGGGACAGACACCCGTTTTGAAATAAGAGACCTGTTGCCTGCTGCACAGTATTGCTGTAGACTACAGGTAGGTTGACATTATTCAGATGTTACTCACAAGGACTGCTGTCCCATGAAAGGCACTTTGGGAAACCCACTCAAAGGCTTGTGGTGGAGGCTGTCAGGAGGGATGATATGGAAAAAAAGAGTCCATTTAAATAAAAATATATTTGGTTGTTTTGGTGTTTTGCAGTTAATTTCCACTTCTCTAGGAAATTCTGAAACTTAAGAACAAAATAAGATTCTTCTCCATTCTGCTTCTCACCACCCTTGTATCTTGTCTGTTCATCAGTTTGCTGAATAAATGACCCAAGTCCAAGGGAAAGATGACACAGCTCCTTAGGGAAGGAGCCTTCTGTCTCATTCCCCTGAGATGTACATTTCAGTGGGAAAGACTCTTAGAACTGGTAAAAGACAGAAAATTATTTTACGAGCTGTTAAATGGAGCCAAAAATAATCTGGACTAGTCTGCATTAGATTACAGGACCCCACCTCCCACCTCCCAGTGACGGTTATCAAGGCTGGTTATCTATAAGCTTCCACTTGGGAGTCCAGATAGAATAACATCAAGAAAAATTGGTTCATAGCCTAACCCCTCAGAGTGACAATAACCATGGGTTTACTTTTATTTTACTCTCTTGGCTATATTATTATTTTTTCTGTGTAAAGCCTTAGTCTCTTGAGAAAATAGAGTTCTTTGTCCTCCTCTTTCCATTTGTTCAGTAACATTTCTTGAGCATTATAGTACTTTGTACCAGGATCAAAGGAAGATCAGGAAGAGAGATACAAAGATTAATCAGATGTGGTTGTTGACCTTGAAGAGCTCTGTCTTCATACACATTTAGATTTGAATAGATAAAGAAGCAAAGATGCCAAAGTCAAGTTCCCACCTGATTTAAGTCATGGATCAAATTCGTTATTATAAGTACACCCAATGTCTCTGGTCTCTTTGGAGAAAATATTCGCTTCATAACTTAATTTTTCAGATCAACTGAAGCATTTCTGTTAAATTCAGAAGTCTGCTGTATTTGAAACATTTCTGATTAAACTCTTTTGTTATACACCTTTCTTGCTTCTCGAATGAAGCACCTGGGACATAATTAACCTTTTGACAATGAGTCAGTGTCACAGCAAATTGTCTGATATTTATAATAGTGATGCTGAGTCACTGGGGAAAGGTTAAATTATGTGCCACACTCTTGTTTTTCTACCAAGGCAGGATATAAATAAAGAGCTGTCTGCCACCCCAGTAAAGAGCTTCACTCCATTATGGTTTTTGAGTTTTGGTGTTTCTTTAAAATGTTATTATATCTCCTTCTCTTTCAGAGTCTATGTTGTCTTAGCATTGACTTCCCAAAGCTGCATTATAAAAGATACATTAATAAGAATAGTACCTGCATAATCTTGCCTCGTTGTATTAACAGGAGTAGAAATATATTTTCAAAGGTCTGTGCTTATTTATAATAAAATGAGTCAGATCTTATGAAGGGAGTACTACTTTTAAGATTACCATTGCCACACTAAAGGACTATTGCCAGGAAGGGGGTCTGTTCAAACTATACCAATTTATTGTTATTTGTGGACCAAATATGAATTATTTTCATTCAACATGATTACAAAGTCAAGTTAAACCCCAATATTTTTTGAATATATGGCACTTAAGAATTTAAATATTGGCCGGGCATGGGGGCTCACACTTGTAATCCCAGCACTGTAGGAGGCTGAGGCCGGCTGATCTCTTGAGCCAGGAGATAGAGACTAGCCTGGACAACATAACAAAACCCCTCCTCTACAAAAAAAAAAAATACAAAAATTAGCCAGGCATCTGTAGTCCCAGCTGCTCAGGAGCCTGAGGCAGGAGGATCACTTGAGCCAGGTCAAGGCTGTAGTGACCTGTGACTGCACCACTGTAGGCCAGCGTGGGCGACAGAGTGAGAGCCTGTCTCAAAAAAATAAAAATTTATTATAATACCTGTACTGTGTTTTATAGAAATGTGGTGGAACATTTCTTGTTTTGCTCAGGAATTTTTGAATTTTTGTATTTTCAGGACTGTTTTAATTAAGTACCAACGTAATTCCATTCATAGGGCATGTTGTATATTATAGGCATACTATTATTTACAAAAAGTTGATTTTGAATTAAATTTCATTTGAAAACTGTTAATAAAAAGTGGTGTAAATCAAGAAATGTTTTCCATAGAGCCAAGCTAGTTAAAAAGAAAGTAGGATCCTGCAGTAGAAAAAGAACATTGGAAGAATTGGTAAGATTCTGATTAGGTCTGTATGTTAATAGTATAGTATCAGTGATAATGTTTTTCTTTTCTTTTTTTTCTTTTTTTTGAGATGGAGTCACGCTCTGTCACCCAGGCTGGAGTGCAGTGGCGCGATCTTGGCTCACTGCAACCTCCGCTTCACAGGTTCAAGCGATTCTCCTGTCTCAGCCTCCCGAGTAGCCGGGATTACAGGCGCCTGCCACCACGCCTGACTAATTTTTGTATTTTTAGTAGAGATGGGGTTTCACCAGGTTGGCCAGGCTGGTCTCGAACTCCCGACCTCAGATGATCCACCCGCCTCAGCCTCGCAAAGTGCTGGGATTCCAGGTGTGAGCCACCGTGCCCGGCCACCAGTGATAATTTCCTGGTTTTGATCATTATTCTATAGTTCTGTAACATGTTTCTCTTCGGAAAAGCAGAGTAGGAGATAGACAGAAATTTCTCTGTACTATTTTTGCAACTTTTCTGTAAGTATAAAAGTAGTACACAATAAAAAGGTGTTTGAAAAAATAGAGAAAATACTATTTTGTTCATAATTTTCCCAGTGGGAAGGAAGAAAGTGTAGCTCCTACTGTTGGCCTGATACTCTGCCAGCATTTTACATATTAACCGATTTAATCTTTACTGTAATTCTATGAATTAGGCATTACTGTCCCCATTTTACAGCTGAGGAAACAAGCTCAGAGAAATTAACTAACCTAAGATCACACAGTTGTTAAATGATGGAATCAAGGTTTGAACTAAGCTTCAACTCTTAAAAGCCATGTTCTTGTCCTTCTGTGATATGGTGATACAAAGCCCTAGTTGATAGAAACATTGGGCTCCATGATATCCTATTTTTCTGCCCCTGTGATACATTTATATCAGTACCAAAATCTCGAAATACATACTTATAAAATAATTTGTCATGTTAAAATTTTTCCAGAAAGAGAGTTGAGGTATTGAGGTATTGTAATGAAACAGAAGTGGGTATGACAAAATGTTGCAGTAGAGTTTCAACTGTGATTTAATAGCAAATAAATGCTTTAAGCCTGCTTCTTTGAAATTAACAAAGGAGTTATAAGTTTTGTTTTAGACCTTGATTTAAGAGCTCAAACTTAGCTGGGTGTGGTGGTATGTGCCTGTGGTTCCAGCTACTCAGGAGGCTAAGGTGGGAGGATCACTTGAGCCTGGCAAGCAGAGGTTGTTGCAGTGAGCTGAGATTGCGCCACTGCACTCCAGACAGAGACAGACCCTGTCTCAAAAACAAAAAACAAAACAAAACTCAAACTCCTTTAGTTTTGTAATTCAACCTCATAAGCTGTCCAATAAGCTAAATGAAAACTAAGTTTTAGAGTACATTCACTTTTGTAAGAAAGCTGCCAAATGTTTTTCTCTTTGTAAGAAAGAAAATCTTTTTGATAACATTTATTGAACACATACTCTGTATCAAGTACAGTTGCCAGAAATACAACAGTGAGCCAGACAGGCAACTTTGCCCTTATGTAACTTGCATTCTAATCAGAGGAGTACTATATACTATGTCAGTGATAAGTGTCATGATGTAAAGTACAGCAAAGAAGGGAAATAGGAAATGTGGAAGACCACAGAGGAAGGATTGCAAAGTTGAAATGTGTTCAGAGAGGGCTCGCTGAACAGGTGGCACCTACAGACCTTCTCTCAAATGAAGGTGATTGAGTGAGCTGTGCAGATGTCTGGAGAAAAAGCTTTCTGGACAGGAGGAGCAGCCAAGTGCAAAGGCCATGAGGAGGCAGCAAACTTGGTGTCCCTGTGGAGCAGCAGGGAAGACAGTGTAGCTGGAGCAGAGTCAGTAAAGGGGAGAGTAGCAGGCAATGAAGTCACAGTGCTAATGGGTTTTTGAAGGGGAATGGTGGTGAACAGCAGATCATATAGTCCTGTAGGGTTTTGTAAGAACTTCAAAGTTTTTTCTGAATAAGATGGAAACCCACTGAAGGAATTTGAACCAAAAATCTCGATAATCCTGATTCATATTTTCACTGAATCACTCTGATTGCTGTGAATTTAGACTATTGGGCAAGGGCCAACATAGATACCAGCTAGGAGGTCATTAGAATAACCAGATGGGAGAGAGAGTAGTTGGACTAGAGTAATACAGGATGTGCTGATGGCCTGGAGAGGGGTATGAGAGGAAGAAAGGTGTCCAGAGATGACTTAATTATGACTTGAGTGCTCTGAAGGAGGAGGGAAACCACAGGAGATGCAGTCAGGTTTTTGTAAGGAGGGATGGGATGGGGATGAGGAGCTGTGTGGACATTTGAGTTTGAGATGCCTGTTGGACATGCAAGTGGAGATACTCAGTGGTTGAATACAGATACCCTAGACCAGTATTCAAAGCAGGGGACTGGGCCACCCATCCAAATTGGGGAGTAGGTTATCAGTGGCGTTTACTCCTTGAGACAAGACGACATCTCCAAATGTTTGAGTAGAGGTAGAAAAGAGGAGGTACCGAAGTACTGAGGGCTGATACTCACCAGCGTTAAGAGTTCAGGGGATGGTGGCAACCAGGAAAGGTGATTGAGAAGCAGCAGGAGGTAAGGTAGGAGGAGAAATAAGTGTGGCATCTTGGAGACCTAGTGATGAATAAGCATTTGAAAGACCTGGGAGTGATCAAGGTGTCAGCTGTTTCTCTTGGGTAAAATCAGATAAGCGCTGACGATTGACTTCAGGGATGAGTTTATTATTCATGTGGAAGATAGAAGATGCCTTTTCCTATTGCTATTCCAGGACAGCTCTAGACTTAAAAGTCAGATGAACCGGATTCCGGTCCCAGCTTTGCCTCTAAATCTGAGGCCTAAGTTATCATCTGACTCTGAGTTCCTGTCTCTAAAAGGCGGATAAGAATACCTACCATTTAAGATCTACCACAGGGGGTTATTATGAAGATCGTGTAAGATGATGTATAAACTGAAATAGGTCATGCAAATATAAAATATTATTTTTAAATTATTTGTCATAAGAAACGATGGTGGCCATATTTTGCTTTAATAATGGAAAAAATGTGGTTAGCATTCTTTGGAAGGTGGTCATCAGATAGTAGACATTTTCTAGGATTTATTTCTACCTGCATATGTGGAAATGTGTACTACTTTAGATTTATTTAATGGCAGCTAACTCAGAGGCATCAAAATGTGCTAATGGTGTAATATGGCCTTTGTCTTGCTGTTCTGTTTTGTAGGCCTTCAATCAAGCAGGGGCAGGGCCGTACAGTGAACTTGTCCTTTGCCAGACGCCAGCGTCTGCCCCTGACCCCGTCTCCACTCTCTGTGTCCTGGAGGAGGAGCCCCTTGATGCCTACCCTGATTCACCTTCTGCGTGCCTTGTACTGAACTGGGAAGAGCCGTGCAATAACGGATCTGAAATCCTTGCTTACACCATTGATCTAGGAGACACTAGCATTACCGTGGGCAACACCACCATGCATGTTATGAAAGATCTCCTTCCAGAAACCACCTACCGGTGAGTGCAAGGGAGTAGAAATCTGCATCAGCACATCAGCACTTGGGGATCTAAGTAAACCTCTCGGGGAAAATGACCAAGTGGATGTCATCTCCCAGCTGTTTCTAAGAGCCCAGATGTCCAGAGTATTGTCTCACCTTGATCCCTCAGGCCAGAAGACCTGTGAAAAAGCCACACTGGTTCAGGGACTCACTGGACGGTTTTGTGTCCACTCTAACCTGCACCGTCTCTACCCCAGAGTGGACTCAAATCCTCAAGTCAGTCCTCTGAACATTGAAGTCAGAAATTATAAAAGGGCTTTGGCAATATGTTAGCCCAAGAATTTGGCTTCTTCCAGAAATTGTGCCGACCTTAACAGTGGCTTAAATGATGGTAAAACTTTTAAGATTTCTAAAAGGATGGCATTGGAGATACGTTGACTTTTATTAAACAACCTATAGTTGTTTAATGACTTCTAAAAAAATATCTGGAGCTCAGGGGTTCAACTGAGGGAACACATGTTGAGAATCATTGTTTACTAATTAAATGCCAGGTAACCGTTGAAATTATCAAAAACATCTTCCACGTACCAGAAAGCACCTCAGAGGATAGTTCTGTTATGGAGAAGATGAAATGGTTTAGTAGTGTAGGAACTATGGAAAGGTGAGCTTAGATTTGGATAGTAAAACCTCAAGACCCTATTTAAAAAGTATTTTATGAATGCAGCATAAATAATTTAATTCAGTGTTAATATGCCAAGGCTAGTATATTGAGCTGAATGTGAAAAGAAACTCACATTGGGAGAATGCCACCTTTTCCTTATAAGATAGCTTTGAAGATACCATTTTAGACAGATGGAAATTGAATAGCTTTAGAAAAGGCAAATGTTTGATCTTGGGGAAAAAAAAAAAACTTTAGATAGTCTTTGCTGGCCAATCAATAAATTATAAACTGGACATTACATACTTGAGGTAAAAATAATTCATACTTGCTTTTTCTTTTACATCTTGAAGTAGAGGCTGATTTTTCAAAATAATGAATAGGCTACCAAATGAAGGAAAATCAATCAAAACCTTAAAAATTCAAAGTATGTTCAATATCATTCTATAGTAGTTTATTTCTGGTTAACATGTAGGACAGTTTTACATACCCATTTCTGTTTATATACAAATAGAAAAAAATTTCAAATATGAATTATCATATTTAAATTGTTTCCAATTTTAATCCATTGTTCACTAAATCTGAATTACATTTTATGAGTCAGTATTTATCATTTAATAATAGTACATTTTATATTTTATATCATGAAATCATAAACTAAATATTAGGGACCAAGTTCAATTAATATTTTTGCTTGCTAATGTTTATAACTAAGATATTGGTATGCCCGTATCAGTAAATGAGTATTTTTTCAATAAAGAAATATAAACAATAAAAAAAAATAATAATAATAATAATTCATACTTAAGACCAACTGGTTTATAGCTTTAGGAATTTTAGTTTCTATAGTACACAATTGGGTATACTGTATAGTATTAATAGAACTCTGGTCAACCCACAGTCTTGTTGTTTTATGTTTCAAAAACATAATTGCAGTAATTATAGTGAAATACAAAATGAGTATTTCAGGGAACCAAAGGTATAATTTTGGCCCAATCAACTTTTATTTCACCTTTTTTCTGTCCTATAAATTGGTTAAAATATAAATGAACAGATCATGATGTTCTAGATAAAAACATGTGGAATGAAACATTTTAAGCAGACCATGGAGCTTGGATAAAAGACTTGTTTCTTTTGTTTGATTTTCTTTTTTTTTTTTTTTTAAGCCTTCAGCAGTTACATATTGTTCTCATACCAAGCTTATTCTTTCTCTGTGTTGCCAGGACAGGGTTGTACACCTCTCTAGTAAATGTACTAATGCAAAAAAGCTTCTTCAATGGATCGGTCATTTCTCCATGGGTGCTATTATAGCAAACTACCCATTGGCTTGCTGACACACTCTGTAGAAATTTCACTAGAATTACAATACTACTTTTAAAGGCATTCCTTTAAGTTTATAATTGAGTTAGAAATTGAATTTGTCCTTTAATTTGAAGGAAAACAGTATTATTAAAAATGAAAACCTAACTTTGCTCTGTGTGCTTCCAGCCAAGTAGTCACAGATTTGGCAAGATAAGAGGGTAATCGGATCACCTGGTATCACCCCTTCCCAGTCCTTGGCTTGAGCATCTTCAGTGACAGGGGCAGTGGTTCTAGCTTCCACTCACCAGGCAGTCCATTCTATTTGTGGATAAACCTCTCTATATCTAAAATCAACTGCTGACCTTAGAACTTCCTCAATAGCAGTGATTCTCAAAGTGTGGTCCCTGGACCAACAGCATTAGCATCACCTGGGAACTCGATAAAATGCAAATTATCAGGCTCCACCCCAAACCTACTTAATTAGAAAATCTAGGGGGGGGGCCTAGCACTTGGTGCTTTAATTAGCCTTTCAGGAGATTTTGATGCTTATGAAACTTGAAAACCTTGGCCCTAGAGCAGTGATTCTTAAATGTCAGTGTATGTAAGAGTTGCCTGGAGAACCTTTTCAAAATACAGGTGTTTGAGCCCTACACCTGTAGGCCGCAATTGGCCCCAGAGGGGGCCTAAACATCATTACGTTATAATGTCAGCTGTCTCTTATTTACCCATCCCACCATCATTTACACTGTCTTCATTAGCACAGGTTTTCTATAACTGCCTCCAACCTCTTCTTTAAATGTTTTCAGGTTTTTGGTGGCCTCGCTGATGTGCAGTGCCCAGACCTCCAGGAATGGTCTGGTTGGCTGGCTCAGAGCAGACCAGGACTATTGCCTTCCTTGTTCTCCATACTGAGCAGTTAGTGAGGTTGCCTGAGATTACTTTTTTTTAAACAACCTTATTATATGCCTGACTCAGACTGAGCTGGCAGGCAACCAAAACTTAAAGTAGATTTGTTTGTTTTGCTCATTTGTACTCCTTTTGCTAAGTAAAAAAGGCTTAAAAATAACATGTATTGAGCCCTTACTATATGGTAAGCACTATGTTAGGCTGCCCAGAAGTGAATCATAAATCATTTTGTCATAACAAGGTGAGATGGGCTTTACTAGGAGACAAGTTCTGGGTAGTTCAGTGGTAGCAGACGAGTCAGACAGCCTTGACTTCAATCCTATCCTTCATTTATTGTCTCTGCAAACTTTGGGAAGTTATTTAAGCTCTCTGTGCCTCAGTTTCCTGACCATTAAAAAGGGGATAATAATTTTCACTACTTAACAGAGTTGTTGGGTATTTTGATAAGAGGTCAGGTACCTAGTATGGGGCCTGACACATAGTAAATAAATAATCAGAAAATCTGTTGTTAATGTTCGGTAGGGAAGAAATGAACTCAAAGATGGGTTGTGACCAGATTATAGGTAGAGATCTTATCTGTAGAAACCTTATCCTTCAAGGTTTTTTTGCCTCCAGAGCAGGGTATGAGAAGAGCAAGTCTCAGTGCCTGGAGCTGGAATGGTGGCATTGGTGTCAAAGGAGCTTTCAGGAGCAGGAGCTTGGTGGGAGGCCAGTTCCGACTCCTCCTCCAGGAAGCCTTCTATGAATAACTTTACTCGGAGCCCATCTTTTCCCCACCAAAAGGGATTTTCGTTGTTTGCTATTATTTCGTACTTAAGACATTTTCTGATGATTATTCTCTTCTTTCATGTTTTTCTTAATTAGATGATAATCTAGGGCAGGGGTGTTGTAAAAGCCAGCCCATCTTTTGCTTCTCAGGCCCCTCCTACCCTAGCCCTTTACCTGCGGGCCCTCTCAGTCTCCCTCACACCCACACTCTTGACATCCCGAGCTCTGAGATGGCCAGTCCTGATGAGGGAAGTCTTCCCAGCTAAGGATGGTTTGTTTCGAAAGTCATTCTTCTTTTAATATATTTTGTAGTAGAAATTTGATTATGTATATGTATATATTTAAAGTGCGTTGTAGAAGGCTATGATCTTCTAAAGCAGGAGTGTATTTGCATGTAAAATGTGGTCCTTTAATGGTGGATTTTTAATCAAAATTTATAAAGAATGTGGTTCTTTGATTTATTTGATTTGTTTAATCAATAATATTAGTATATTGATGGATATTGCAGACTCCTGGAAACATGAAGAGATTTTTCACATCAGCCTAGCCAAGAAGAATTTGCTTGGGATTACATTACTTCTCCAAATTGGAAAGGAAAATGCTACTTCCCTTGTACTTAATTTGCAGAGCTGAAGATTTTTTAAACTGACATAATGCAAATTAAACAAAACAAAGAGACCTGCAGATTTTATCTAAGTTTCAAGATTAGCATGTTACTTGAGCTAAAGAGAAAACTTCTCAAGTTTGGGTTTTGGATAGACTCTAATTAATAAAACTTAAAGTTTAGTTTTTATTTTCTGAGGTGAATTCTTGGAGTGGTTCCTCAGGTTAATGTTTGTTTTGCCCATTAGTCCAATGTCACCTTTCACTGGAATTAGGAAATTATTTTCCCATACTGTGTTTTTCACCCTAAACCAAAACAAACAGTAACTGCCTTAGTCCTCATTCAGCTGTCTCAGCCTCCTGTGCTCAGAGGCCTTAATATTTTCCCCAGAATGCAACAAGACATCATTTCATTCCATTTTATCAGTTCCTCAGTTTTTTTTTTCAATTTTGAATGTTACATCATCATTAGAAATAATTAATGTTAGTTCAGTGCATCAGCTGTACACGTAAATGTTCACGTATTTTCGCTGAAACAAAATGTGTTTTTGTAAAAATGTAGGATAGGTTGAATTGAGTATTTTAGAATCTAGGTAGTTGATTTCAGGGCCAGATGCTGTTTAAATAATGTGAAGTAAACTTGTTGACTCTTCTAAATGCCTGCTTCCTTGGCAGACGGTCAATGTTGAACTGAAAGTGTGGTTTGAATTAAAAATGGTCATTTGGTAGGATTTGTAACCATATTTGGCCCCTGTTACGATATAAGAGTATGGTGTGCCAGACACACAGGCCTTTGCACCTAAAGGGAGTTCTGCTCACGCCTGGATCTAACATGTGTCTGACATGACCTAGCTGAGCTGCAGTTTCTTCAGTTGTAAAGCAGACAAAGTAGCTCCTACCTTATGGGGTCAGCATAGAAATCAGAGATGATATTGTAGATGTCAAACCTAGCTTTCAACCCCTAGTAGTCACTCTGTCATTTAGATCAAGTTATTTAACCTCTCTGCATTTAACTTTGATTTCCTCATCTCTAAAGGCAGATGTAATAGTAGTTCCCACTCTGTAGTGCATTTTCTGGAACAGAGCAAGTTCTCAATGTGTGTAGTGATGGTTGCCATTGTTGTTTTCTTCAGTTCCTGAGATCTTTGTCTCACTCTCACCTTGCTGCGGATGGCCTAGAAAGAAGCCCATCCTTTCAGCTGTTGCTGAGTCCTTGGCCATTACTTGGAGGAAGTGGGATCAGCAAGTTACTCATGTTGTAAAGTGAGGTGGTGTAATAGTGCAGCCGCAGTGAAGACCTGTCCCTGTGCCAGCACTGTTGGGATGGCGTGACACTCTCAAAGAAGTCATCAGGATAATGACTCCAAAAATTAACACTTGAAAATTTGCTAGTGCTTTTGGCTGCCTTGAATCCTCTCCTGATTTTACTGTGGAGTATAAAATATTAAAAATTGGAAAGTGCTTCTTACATCCCTTATCTTAGTTAGGTAATCTTCTTTGTAATTGCAGAAAAAAGTCACTGTCCCCAATTTATAGATAAGAAAGCTGTTACTTAAAAGTGTTCAATAATTTCCCCAAGGTCTCCAAATTGATGAGCAGGATTCCCAAAGAGGCTACACTGCTAAAGAGTGTTAAATGCTACCACAGTTTTCTTGGTGGTGGTGGTGGTGGTGGTGGTGGTGGTGGTGGTGGTGGTGGTGGTGGTGGTGGTGGTGGTGATGGTGGCGGTGGTGTGTGTTAAGGCTAGGATTATATGCCTAGGAGATACTCAGTGAAAGATTAGAGAACCCTAGAGCTAAAGATATAAAGAACCTAGTACTTACCAAAATACTAGGGAGGCTTTGAGGAAGGAAATGAATTTACAACAGAAGCCAAAAATCAAATCTAAATTTTTTTTATATCTTGATACTTGTATCTTCTAAACTATTTTTAAATTCTTATAAGTGATTTAAATCTCTTAGCATTTTTTTTCTTGAGTATAGAATAGAACAACAATCTTAAGGAACTCATTACCTCATTTTCTTTTGTGTATTAAAGTAGCTAAGAGCTATTCAGGTGGCACAGAGCAAAGGGTAGGATCACCTAGAATACAAGGTGAGCCAGCAGATGGCAGAAAGGATCTTGGCCTCTGGAATCTAGGAATGTTTGTACCTAGAGTAAAGGGAAGGAATGGTGGTTTGGACACTGGAAGGACCTTAATATAAACCTTGTAGGTGAGGAAATGTGTTACACTGTTGAAGAAAGACTAAAACTTAATGTCCGGCTTAATTTCCTTTTCCTGAGAAGGGAAAGAGGATAGTAATTTCTACCATCATGATGACTGCCTTTTTAAAAAGATTTTTCATTTCCAGTTGCCGAAAAATATGTTACATTCCAATCATAGAAAGAAACTCTTCTATTAATACCATAAAGCAATCTTATAAGACTCATATGGGAGGCAAGGAAGAGTTCTAATCTTTCAGTGTTATACCGAGAGACTTATATTGCTTTATCTACAAAAGACTTGATGCAGCCCCAGTGTAATAGAATCTGGGAAAAGTAAGGCCCTTTGTAATGGAGTTTTTGCTCTGCTTTATCAGAGATGAGTATTTACTACGTTCCAAACTATGAGGAGATATTTATCTAGTTTTAGGTGATTATAAGTAGAGCTGCTGTAAACATTTGTGTGCAGGTTTTTGTGTGAACATAAATATTAATTTTTCTAGAGTAAATAAATACCTGGGATTGGGATTGCTGGGTCATGTAATAAGTATATATTTAAAAGGCAACTGTTTTCCTATGTGGTGATGCCAGTTTTCATTATCACTAGTGAAATAGGAGAGTTCCAGTTGTACCTTATCCCTGCCAGCACTTTTTTAACATAATGGTATTACATTGCGAATTTAGTTTGCATTTTTCTAATGGCTAATGATGTCAAACATGTTTTTGTGTCCTTATTTGCCATCTGTATTCCCTCTTTGGTGGAGTGTCTATTCTAGTCTTCCGCCCATTTTTAATGGATTATTTCCTTAACTGAGTTTTGGGAGGTCATTATACATTCTGGTTACAAATCATTTGTCAGATGTAATATTGGCACATACATTCTTCCAGTCTCTAGTTATTTTCATTCTCTTAGCAGTGCAAAAGTTTCAAATTTTGATGAAATCCAGTTTTTTATTTTTTTCTTTTATGTAAGATCATGCTTTTCATGTCATATCCAAAAACTCTTTACTTAATTCTAGGTAGTAGATTTTCTTCTGTGTTTTCTTCTTAAAAGTTTAATATTCTACATTTAGATCTGTGGTCCCTTTTGAGCAAAGTTTTGTGTAAGGTGTGAGGTTGAAGCTGAGGTTTATTTTCCTCCTATTGATATCCAATTATTTCAACACCATTTGTTGAAAAGACTGTCTTTTCTCCATTGGATTGCTTTTGCACCTTTGTCAAAAGTCAATTGGCCCCATTTGTGTAGGTCTATTTCTGGAGTCTCTATTCTCTTGTATTGATCTAGGTGTTCTTCTCTTCACTGGTACCACACTCTCTTGATTACTGTAGCTTTATACTAAGTCCTAAAATCAGGTAGTGTGATTCTTCAAACTTTATTCTTATTTTTAAATTTTGCATTAGCTATTTTAGTTCCTTTGCCTTTCCACATCACTTTATTTTTTTAATGTATAAAGAAAAGAGATTTGTTTGGCTTATAATAAACTGTAGGCTGTACAAAACCTTTGGTTCTGTAGGCTGTACAAAAAGTGTGGTGCCAGCATATGCTTCTAATGAGCCCTCAATAAACCTTTAATTATTCAGTCCTCCTAGGCCTCTGGAGGAGAGGGTCCATGTCTCCAAGGTTTGTGAAATGCCCTTTAAGGGCTTTTCCCCATTATCCTGAATATTAGTACCAGGCTCCCTTTTAATCCTGCTAATCTCTCTAGCAAGTGGTTGCTCTACAGACTGCATTGATTCTTCTCCTGAAAGTACTCTTTCCTTCTCTACCACATGGCCAGGCTGCAAATTTTCTAAATTGTTACTCTCTGCTTCCCTTTTAATTATAAGTTCTAACTTTAAGTCATTCCTTTGCTCCCATATCTGATCATAGGTTGTTAGAAGCAGCCAGGTCACCTCTTGAACACTTTACTCTTAGAAATTTATTTTGCCAGATACCCTAAGTTATCACTCTTAAGTTCAGCCTTCCACAAAGCCCTAGGACATGGAAACAATGCAGCCAAGTTCTTTGCTCCAGTTCCCAAAAGTTCCTCATTTCCATCTGAGACCTCCGCAGCATGGCCTTCACTGCCCATATTTCCATCAGCGCTTTGGTCATGACCACTTATTCAGTGTCTAAGAAGTTCCAGACTTTCCTGTCTTCTTCTGAGCCCTCCAGACTCTTCCAGTGTCTGCCCATTACCCACTTCCAAAGCCAGTTCCACATTTTCAGGTATCTTTATAGCAACCCTCTACTCCTCAATATCAATTTTCTTTTAGTTCATTTTGTGTTGCCAAACAATTCTCCCACCACAACCTCCCAAGTACTGGGACCACAGGCATGTGTCACTATGCCCACTAAATTATTTTTTTGTAGAGATGGAGTCTCACTAGGTGGCCCAGCCTGGTCTCAAACTCCTGGACTCAGGCAATCCTCCTGCCTCGGCTTCTCAAAGTGCTGGAATTACAGGTGTAAGCCACCACGCCTGGCCTAAAATAACATTTTATATATACATTTTAACTCTTCGATTTTAAATTCATGGATGATTAAGGTAATATGTTTCTTATCCATAACTCTGTGCTACACATAGCAAACATCCAGCTAAGATTTTTGCACATCTGGATGCCATCCCATTACTAACAATATCTGCATGCTTAGCTCTAGATAAGGACTTGCAGAGATTGTTGGATGAGGCTGGCAAAAGGGAGACATGAAATGTCCTGTTGATGAGTTGTCCTGTGTTTTTGACTCTGAAGGAGACTCATTTGTTCCCCCATTTCATTTACTCTTGATAGCTCACCTACTTCCAAAACTGACCATGAGGTAGCTAAACGGTAGCTAGGACAAAATATAAAAGCGTATCTTTAAGATATCTTCCCTGAGACAACAAACCTATTTTTTTTAAATTAAAGAACTAAGAGATATCTTGCTACCGTGCTTTTTTGCTATTTTTTTTTTAAATGGAGACTATAGTCTGTCCACTGAGCAACCCCGTGCTTCTATTTGTCTTGAGTTACTTTAACTTGTTTTTCTTCATTCTATGTTATTGCTTTAGGGACAAGTAATAAATACTATGCTCAATGTTTATTTCGAATGAAGAATTGCTGCTGCTTTAACCTGCATTGTCTGTATTTTTTTTTTCCTTTCTCTAGGATCAGAATTCAGGCTATAAATGAAATTGGAGCTGGACCATTTAGTCAGTTCATTAAAGCAAAAACTCGGCCATTACCACCCTTGCCTCCTAGGCTAGAATGTGCTGCTGCTGGTCCTCAGAGCCTGAAGCTAAAATGGGGAGACAGTAACTCCAAGACACATGCTGCTGAGGACATTGTGTACACACTACAGCTGGAGGACAGAAACAAGAGGTGAGGTGGGGGTGAGGATGCTCCTGAAGCTTCTGTAGCTTTGGCTTGTGGGATGAAATCTCAATTGTACATTTTTATTTGCTTGCACTAAGACCCTCTTCCTTCTTGTTCAGAGGCTTCCTTTGACTTGAGCCCTGCGTTTTATACCCGGAGTCGTTCCTTTTATTCTCTATTTGGAATTTCTAAACATTCTAAAGATCCTGATTTCCCTACATAGCATAATATGCACTTTTTTTTCCTTTCATCAAGCCAGATAATGGAGAGAAAGTATCTAAAGAAAATTGTCAAATTCAAGTTCACACTATGTAATAGCATTATATTAGTCATGAGTGCAGAGGGAAATAAGACCCAGGAAGAGATGTTACCTCTTTAAATATTCAGTAACCATCAGGACAAACATGTTTACCAATGTGAAATAGCTGTGGGTGATGTACAGATGGGGACTGTACTCTGTAACTATGGGCAATGCAATATCAAATTAACCAGAGCAAATAGGAGATTCTTCATAAAACTCCATACCCAGGAAACATTCTTGGCTGTCAAAATCAAATGTAGCCTTTCACGTAGTATTTGTTTAACCTAACTTCATTTCCTCTGAAAATGTCCGATCAGAAGACAGCCAAACTGTATTTAGAAATAATCCAATGTCAAGCAAAAGTTAATGGTGACAGAATGTTCTGTTACCAAAAGTCCTAATCAGACAATCAGGTAAAGGGAATGGGAGATCACCATAAAACCAAAACAACCAAAATGCTACTTCCCTGCTTACCTACTGACACACAAAACCAGTGTCAGGATAGAAGCATTTCTGTTATTTCCTTTTATGCATGATACTATTCTGTTCCTTCACGTATGGAACCCATTCTAGTTACACGGAAAACCCTGTCCCAGTCTCCACCCCCTACTCTGCAGTCAAGCACTTTGATGGATTTCAGTACAGTGGAGTCCTGTGGGCCTTCAGTGGAGACCAAGATTAGAAATCACATAAGACCCTACCTCTAGAAGCATAGTATCAATTTTTAAAATGGCCATAGAACATTAGTGTCAGAGGAAAAAATTGCTTTGGGAGTTTGAAGGAGGCAGAGACCATCTGGTTTAAAAGATCAGGAAAGATTTCTTGAAAGAGGTGACATTTGAGCTTGACTTTGGAGGACCTGGCAAACCTGGTAATTTTTATGACAGAACAAAACGTGATTATCCTCTTGGAAATTAGTTCTAGTGAAGAGAACACAGGGGAGGTAAAGCTTCTTTTGATAGGTTCATGAAAGATTAAATTCATATCCACTGATACACAAGAGCATTCATCTTATTGTGCTATATGTGCCTTCGGATGTGTTTTCATGGGCTTTTTATTTTACTGGCTAGGGACAACTCAACAGGAGAGGGCTGGCAAGAACAGCAATTGTGAACTAACAGAAATCACAATCCATGTATAAAAAAACTAGCATTGGGGGAAATTTTTAAATGTCTTTTCATTTTTTCCCAGACCTGTGGCTTCCATTGGTGGTAAATCCTTAGAAAATAGCTTCTAGTTGTGCTGTTTTAGAAAAAAGTGAAGCACAGAAAAGTTGTTGAAAGTGGTAGCTAGCTGAGTTGGGATAAAGGCCAGTGCCTCCCAATTCCCCGTGCCCTGCCTCCACTGCCATCTTAGAAATGTGGGAAGTGAAGGCTCTGCCCCAAGGGCACCCCCTCTTGCTGCAATCCTGCCCTGTGTGGGGCAGCAGCCCACTAGTGCCTCATAGGGAGAACTATACAAATGTGTAGTCTGATCCAAGGTTTTCCATGACACGGTGGCTCCTGGGCAAAGAACAAAAGCTCCCCAAGCACTTTTCCAAATGAGGTTCCTGGCATGAGGCATTTAAATATGCCAGACAAAAAACAGTGCAGAATCTAGTAATCAATACATGTTGTTTCTTCCCCCCTCAAAAAGCCCAAGGCTTGCCTAATCAAATAAATGACTTGCCTAAATTTAAATGGCAATTTAAGAAAACTTCGCATTAGGAACAGTATTTTTCTTAATTACAGGAGCTAGAGTCCAAATTTATCTTTTTAAATTAGATTTGTCAGTGCTCTCAGAAAGTTATTAAAGTGATGGGAATATAGAGCATAATAAATTCTCATTCTATTTGTGAATAATTTTCCTGAGATTTAATAGAATGAAAACAGCCTAATTTTAGTTTGAAGATGACCTTCCTCAGTGTCTTGAAACTGAACTCTTGTAGTGAGTGGCCTTTTGAATTCAAGCCTTTAACTTTGGATCTTGGCACATGGGTATCAAGGAGAAACAATTTGAGTTGGATACATCATAATACTTTTTATTAGCATAGCCTTTGTCAATCTAGCCTCCTCAAGGTTCTTTAGGACCTGGCTTCTGCAGTTGAAAAGAACAGTGTCTTCCTCCCAAGGGGCAGCTGTCTTTTTCATTGAACTTGTTGCTAGAGGAGCTTCTAGTTTTAAAGCACATACTCTTTAGCGTATGTGTTAATTTCATTAACCACCAGTAAGTTCTTCTTATGCATGTGGCCAAAATAATGATATATCCCGCTTGTGGCCAAGGTGAGAACCATAGATAGGCTTGTTATTTTACTTTTCTTTCTTACCTGCAGGCTCTCAAAGATATTTTTTCTCCTTAAGTTTGAGCATATTTCATGTAAATAAAAGGGATCCCAAAGAGCATCTTGTGCGAACCCTTGGCTCAAGACAACCCAACCTAAAATTCATCTAGATCACCTGGACTTTTATGTTGAAAGGATTTTTCCCCCAGAATAGGACATTTGTTTCCCATCTATTCTGGCTTACAATACTGAAGAGTCCCAGTCCATATTTATGAAGGAAGCAGCCTTAAAGTGTTACCATGAACACTTTATAAACAGGCATTGTGGGCCTTTGAAAAGAAAGCTGCTGATGTCTGAGTTTTATGGGAGTCCTAGCCAGCTGTTTAAGTGTTCTTCTTAACACTTAAGTATATTTTGTAACAGAAGAAAAATGAAAATTAGTATATCTGCGCTTCATAATTATCATATTAAAGAGTTGAGTCGATTTTAGCAACTAAACTATTGCTCTCCAAATTTCCTTAATTCATTAAATAAAGGGGTTAAACTAGAAGACGATCTCTGATATCTTTTCACCTTAAGGCAACAAATCTTTGTAGAGTATTTGTGAATTAAATCCTTTATGAAAAGGTGTCCCTTGTAAATGATTGGGGCATGTTGCCTCTTTTCCTTCATATTTTTAGTTTCTGCTATTCATAAAAAAATAAGAAAAATACTAACTTCCCTTAAGAGTAACTACTTAATGTCCAAAAACCCCTCAGGTTCTGCAACTATGATGCACTGATTTATGATGTTTATTTATATACCTCTCAGAAAATTTGAAATGACCAAGAGATTTACAAATGCAATGTTCAGCCAAAAATGTTTTTAACATTCTAAAGGATACTTATATTTTTATTGTTGTTGTTTTGTTATTGTTGTTGTTGTTTTTACAGCCTCCCTCCCAGGAAACTTGGATTTATTGCATGCCTACAGGAGCGCTAAGCATTGAGAGCTTTGTCTACATTATTTAGTTCTTGAGTAAAAAGGGAAATATTTTCTAGAAAGTAGGGTTTGTACCAAAGCCTTCTACCATTTAGGTGAAAAAAAAAACATAGTTTCTGATAAGTTGAATTGATTTCAACTTACAATTATTGGAGTTTTATATGTCAAATAGAGGCACTGCTTCAGTATTAGATGGACAAAGATGACTAAGATCCCTGCCCTTAAGGAACTCACAGTCTGGTGGGTAATGGTAGAACACAGATGCTTTAAAGCAAATTATGATGTGGAAGGCCTAAAGATTGACACATGCACAAGGTATAGAGGGAAAATTGAAGAATGGCATCTAAGGTAGGCTTAAAATCAAATGAACACTTCTTAGAAAAGATGACAGGTTGAGTGAGTCTTAAAGGATGCCAGTCTTGTAACCTCATGCCTGGGGAGCATTGGGATGGAGACTAGTGATGAAGACTTGAGATAGGATGGAAATTACAGGCAAAACCTCCAAAGTATAGAAAGGTGCCCTGAGTCTTTCTCCAAGTAACTGTCTCTATTTTGTTATTTTCAGACCTGGTGCTTTCTTTCCCCTTAAGTTTGGGCATGTTTCATGTAAATAAAAGGGATCCCAAAGAGCATCTTGCCCAAACCCTTGGCTCAAGGCAAATCAACCTAGAATTCATCTAGATCACCTGGACTTGCTATGTTGAAAGGATTCTACCCCCCTGGGATAGGACATTTGTTTCCCATTTATTCTGGCTTATGATACTGAAGATTCCCCATCCACATTTATAAGTGGAAGCCACATATATAAGGCAGGAAGCAAGCCTTAAAGTAGTGCTTCATATTTATAGAACTAAGTTCATTTCAATGATAAGATTATGATCATTCAATCATCGATTTTTTTTTTTTCTTGAATTACTACTATGTGCTGGGCCTTATGAGGTATGTGGACTATCTATGAGAGCTTATCTTGCTAAGGGAGATAAATTAACATCAAACAATAAGCAGACAGTAAAACAGACAGCAGACAGCAAAACAAAAATTAAATTAGTTTGGCCTTAGAGTGATTAAGTCTATTATTCTTAACAGATCCAGCACAGAAGATATGAATGTCTTTGGTTCCCGTGTTATACAAGAAAAATATATCTCCAAAGTAAACATTTCCATAAAGCTGCATTAACCTCATACAGGCACTAGAATAACAGGATCAGCTTGTGCATTTTAAGATTGTAGCACTGTGCCGATGACTTTGAAGATGCGTTTATCTGTGTTAAATGAAATGTTATGCTGCCCTAACAGAATCGGAGTTGATGCTGCTTCCTGTCCTGACCCCTGTGGGTCTGTGTTCCCTGATAATTTTACACAACACTGAGGCGGGAAGAACGTAAATTCCAGGAATGCATTTATGGTTAATCTGTTGTTGAGGTTTAGTCAGACAGCCAGTGTTTTATAAACCAAGCCTCCCATGAAATTGGGCTGGAGGAAGAGGGATCTAATAGAGCAGATAATTACCACTTGCTCTCCATTAACTCAGCCCTTGTGCCCGGGACACTTTTCCTTTTGGCCAGCAAAATTGGAGTGGCTTTGTCATGTTTACAGGGAGCCTGCCTGTTGGCTATTAGAGAGGGACAGAAAGAATCTGCATATAGAAACCCTGAAAGAATACACACTAGGCAACTAATAAAAATGGTCGGGAACCTGAGCAGCATAGTGAGACCCTTTCTCTAAAACAATTTTTAAAAACTTAGCCAGGCATGGAGGCACACACTAGGTCCCAGCTACTCCGGAGGCTGAAGTGGGAGGATCCCTTGAACCTAGGAGTTTGAGGTTGCAGTGAGCTGTGATCGCACCACTACACTACAGCTTGGGCAACAGAGTGAGACCCAGACTCTTAAAAAAAAAAAAAAAAAAAAGTCTGGAATATATGGGCACTGAGGAGGTGTGAGCTTTCTCAGCGTATGCCTATTATAGAACAAACTCCTGCTTACATTTATCAGACCATGTTGCCAAATTAAATGAAACAGATGTGAGGCAGCCAGCTCAGGGCCAGGCCCTTAAGAAACCCTCAGGATTTGTTTCCAGTGCTTCTCTGACTAGTCCCCGATCCATATAATCATCATTGTTTGATAAATGACATTTTCATATGACATCCACCAGCAGGCTATCATGATTCTCGACATGGGTATCAAATCTCTGTTGAAATCTCAGAACTGTTGCTGGGTTTCTAGGTGACTAGAGGCATATCCCTTCACTTCTTTTTGCCTTAATTTCCCCTACTACAAAATGCAAATAATGATAGCTGTCTTCAGTCCTTAATTGTTGGGGAAAAAAAGATTTTAGAAACATTCTTGGCCAGATGCGGTGACTCATGCCTGTAATCCCAACACTTTGGAAGGCCGAGGCAGATGCGTCACCTGAGGTTAGGAGTTCAAGACCAGCCTGGCCAACATGGCGAAAACCCGTCTCTACTAAAAATACAAAAATTAGCCTGGCATGGTGGCAGATGCCTATAGTCCCAGCTACTCAGGAGCCTGAGGCAGGAAAATTGCTTGAAACTGGGAGGCAGAGGTTGCAGTGAGCCAAGATCACGCCACTGTACTCCAGCCTGGGCGACAGAGCAAGACTCCATCTCAAAAAAAAGAAAGTAACATTTTTGTTTCTTAGAAAAGGAGCATAACAATTTAGCCTTTGAAACCGAGTAGCTTAGTCAATCTTAGGCTAAAATATCCAGGCACAGACAGAGGTGAGAGGTGGCAAATGAACTATTTGAGATCTTAATTGGACCAGAAATAGAAGGCAGATTACAGTTTTACCTCTCATTTACTAAAAACAAAAATAACAGAATGGAATTAGATAGCATTTTTTTCAGGTTGAAACAAGGCCACTAAAACATTAGTAGGCAAATAGAAATTTGGAAAACTCTGGGAAGAGTATCCTTGAAGATTTCACTGCATATACTTGAAAGCAAAGTAGGAGAGTGGGAGATTGCAAGCTTTTCAGGTGGTCTTTAGAAATTCTAGTCATCCTTTTTTTAAATATAAATAAATCTCCATTTTAATACATTAATGTCTAAAGTATACCGAAAAAAAAGTTTTTTTTTGTTTTATTCCTTTATTCTTTGTAAAGAATTTCCACCATCAATAGGTATAGTGAAATTTTATCTCTTAGAAAAGGAGCATAAAAAAATTCCACCCATTAATGAAACAGTATTACAACCTGATCACTCACAAGCCAAAAAAGGTCCATATACAGCCAGGGACAGAGGGTTAGGAAATTAACCTCTTTTCTCAATAGCTGTTGGCACGTTCATGCTTAGTCGGTAAACGGGGACTCTTGCCAACATCAAAATCAGTTTAGGTATTGCACCTTCCCTGCCTCAGGTGTCCCCACATGATGCCATCTGCTTCTCCATAGACATGGTCGGACTCTGTGTTCTTGGCAGAGTGAGGGCGAATACTATCCATTTCTATTTTGAGCACCGTTCGTTCCCAAATGCCACCTGAGTAACATACGAAATTCTCTCTCTCTTTCTCTCTCTCATTCATACACATACACACAATCCATGGAGCCCAGGGAAATTAAGAAAAAAAAAAAGACATGTCATTTTTAATGAATATTGCTGAGCTGTTGATTTGTGATATTGTGAAACATGTTTTGAAAGGTACCATTTGCAGCCTTTAGTAGACTACAGGTTATTTTAGGTCAGCAGGTTAGAGCATTTTGAGGAGTTAATATTAATGTGTTGCTGTGAGCCTGTAGTTGGCCTAGGGATTATAAGATAACAAGGTAGTAAATATAGAAACGTTAGCATTATCTCTTATTTTCCATCATAAATTTAAGTTATAGGCCAGTTAGAGCATTCTTGGATTTTTTTTCAAAATCAAACTGTTTTAAAGAAACATTCTAAAGCTAAATTCTTCATGTATATTACATTTCCCCCTATAGTGATTTAAAATAAAGGAACATTTAAAGATTTAACATGATGGAACTTCTTCCTTCAGTTGCACTTGAGTGCAAAAAATCAACTTTCACAATGTTAAAGCCTAAAATACTGAAATTAAAAGTATAGTCTTCCCCAAGAATTTCTGGAAAATGCCCAGAATCTGTTGTTTGCCTTTCTAGTGCATATTCAATAAGAAGTCATAGAATTTACTTCAATCTCATAAAAGTTCCTGCCAAGTGAACAAGACAGCTGTTGTCTGGCAGTTGAGCCGTAGAGAGTTATGTGACTTGTTCAAGTTTACAGTGAAGGTAATAATCTCTGCATTCTGGCTAAGGTCTGTGTGTATCTTTTTGCTCTTGAAAGCTTGCTCTGTCCCGCCATGGAGTACTCTGACCGGCAAGCAGAATAAAATAAGCAGTCATTGGGTATTCACAAACACATAGAACTTTGTTTTTCATTTTTAAATATCTTTATTTTTTAGAGCAGTTTTAGGTTCACAGCAAAATTAAGCTGAAGGTACAAAGATACCCCTTATCCCACCTACCCCAACACATGCACAGCCTTTTCTATTATCAGCATCGTCCACCACAGTGGGACATTTGTTACAGCTGATGAACAGACATTGGCACATCATTATTACCCAAATTCCATAATTTACGTTAGGGTTTACTCTTGGTGTTGTTCACTGTATGGATTTGGACAAATGTATGATGACGTGTTTCCACCATTATAGTATCACACAGAGTTGTTTCCTCAGTATCTATGGGTGATTGGTTTCAGGGCAACACCCTCCCCCCTTGCCCACCCCCACAAATCCATGGAAGCTCCAGTCCCTTATATAAAATGGCATAGTATTTGCATATAACCTACGCACATCCTCCTGTATACTTTAAATCATCTCTAGTTTACTTATGATACCTAATATAATGCCATTGCTACGTAAATAGTTGTTATGCTTTAGGGAATAATAAGAACAAAAAAAGCAGAACATGTTCAGTATAGATGCAAGCATCCTTTTTTTCCCCCATTATTTTCTATCTGCAGTTGGTTGATCCACAGATATGGAACCTAGGGATATGGAGGGCTGACTGTGCAGAATGTTTCTTTAATCATTGGTAAATCACCAACATTAAAACTCATGCGTGCTTATTGCCATCCGAGTGTCTTGTTTCAAGAAGATATTACAGTCAAAGCTCAAACAAGTTATGGGCAGAGCCATCAAGAATTCATTTAGACTGTAAACTTTTAATGACCCACCCAACCTTCTAACCAGTTTATTTCCCCTTTCCAAGTAAATATTCTTAGTGTAGGAGAGCATTTCTCCCCATCTTTCTTCTCTCTAAGTAAAAATGCCCGACGCTATGGGCAGTGCCTAGATTGGGCGCATTGCCCCATCTTGGTGTTTGCAGCAACAGTTCTTAGCCTGGACTCACCAGGACAGGGTGATCTTGGTCACATGCCCAGCTCTTCTCTCCAACTCAAGAAAACCTCATGGAGTGAAAATGAGAGGGATGCCATTCTGAGGACTCCTTCAGCTTTTCCAACCTTGTAAAACAGACTCATGAGCATTGGTGCTTTGTTAATAATACTCGTGTTAGAAACAATAATATTTACATAGTATTAAAAACAGTAGTATTTATGGAACATTTAATAAGTGCTAGGCATTGTCTAGTGTTTTCCTTCATCATCCCTTTTAATTCTCTCAATAATGCTACAAGGTAGTTACTCTTATCGTACCCACTTTACAGAGGAGGAAACAACTTACCTGGTTATAGAACGCACCATTACCAGACTGTTGAGCCTGAACTCAGACCCAGGCCAGCTTACTGCAGAGCTTATATCATCACCCAGTGTGTTGTATCCAAACTCCCTGCACAGTGGAGCCCCACAGGTGTTACTGTGCTTGTCCTCTTCTTGGTCCTCACAGGAGCCTGGGTCATGGAGCTGATGCCTCTGAAGCTTCATGGGCACAGGCAGCAGGGGATGGAGGTAGAGTAGAAGACCCCTCAGAGATATTGCCAGCGTGGGCTGGGGCTCCTGTGGTACCATAAGGGTTGCCTGTAGCTACATATGCCTCAGCCTGAACTCATACTAAAATGACTCAGTGACTTTATTGAGCATATGGTATGTTCCAGGAACCGCTATATATACATTATTCCTTGTTGCTTTTGTCAGCAAGCGTGCTCATGTCATGAAAATAACAAAGTGAGCATTTTATTTGTATTCCTTGGCCACCAAATTAGATGAGTGATTTATGTTGGGGAGAACTAAATGTCTGGCATAGGCTGTAACAGAACATCACAGATTTAGATGGACATGTTCCTGCTGGGTCAAAAGCTGTGAATGACCCCAGTAGCCTGGGGAGAGGCCTATATAGCAGGAACTGGGAGCCAGAGGTCCTCAGGATACAATTCAGATCCCCAAAAGGTGACCTGTGGCCTTCCTGGTGCAGAGTTTGGGGCCATTGGATAATGCCATATGCCAGGCTCTTACTGTGTCCTAGGCTCAGTGCTGAGGTTTTACCAACATAAATATTGCATTGACTCTTAAAACAATCTACGAGGTAGATGCTGTGCCCATTTTACAAATGGGAGGAACTGACACTTAGCAGGGGTGAATGATGTGGCAGTAAAGCGCAGAGCTGGTTAGAGCACAGGTCTTCCTGGGTCCAAGTCCCTGTGCTCCACTTCCTCCACCGACAGTGTCAGAGTTACAGAGGGGAGTGAAGGATGGTCCAGTCCTTCTCAGCAGCCTAGAGCAGGGGAGCAGCCCAGGGTTAAGCAGGTGTGACTCCTCGTGGAGTGCATCCCTATTTCCTGAGCCCCACTCGCTGTTAGAAACCAAGGTATTGAGGGCTTAGTGAGAGTTTTTCACCATTTCCTGCTGCTTTAGGTCCTCCCATTTCCAGTTGTTTTCTTCCTACTCCAGGGATCTCCTCCCTTCCCCAGGGTTGAAGCAATGCACACTGAAGTATTAATAGTAGTGATCAGCACCTTCAAGACAGCAGGACCCTTCTGTTGCCTTCTGGCTGTGGTGTGATGTCCTAGGGCCTGTGGTGCATAAGCAGGTGGAATCTAAGCACTGACCCTGGTCATTCTACATATAAGAGGAAGAGGACTAGGAAAGCTCGACAAATGCTGTTCTCCTCTTCATGGCAAAGCCTTGCTCTTTGGAATCCTTATCTGCATTTAAAATGTGTAGTCTTCAATCATTGTGTCTTGGGATGCTTGGTATATTTAGTTCCATCACAAAAGGCCTCTGGCTTACTTATTAATGAATTCTGAAATTAAGTTGTCTTTTAAAAAAGATATAGGAGCAAGAAAAAAATTAACTTAGTCTTTGTAAAACAAATATTTGATGAATATTTGTAATCTCTCCCTGAGTGGTTCTAGCCACAGGGGTGTTAACCTACAGAGCTTCCTAGAAAGAGCACCATACAAATGGCCATAAATCACTGGCCCCGAAGAAGGAAGATTCTCTCTTATTTTGCCTCCTGGAATGATGGGAAATAATTATAGAACTGGGATGAAAGAGGAATTATATTATTCTTGTGTTGGCATATGTGCTTTTTATTATGTTTTGGTAGGTCTTTATTGTCTGATATTGGAGGAGCAAGGGGAACCAGACATTACTGTCAGCATGTACATTTCATGCTAGGGTTTACCAGAAAGAAACTTAGAATCAACAGTTATCTGAGGCCTGCTGTGTCAGAGCTTGGGGCTTTTATGTGAGCCGTCAAATTCAGACCTCACCAGTGTGTTCCAAGGAAGCGTCTCTGCCTGTACTTCACTGGCAGGACCCGCCTGAGGGAGAGTAAACAGCCTCACAGATGTAGTCCCACAGCTCATGTCTGAGGCCAACATGGCAGCCTGCTCTGCAGGGTTGCCTCTTACCATGCGGCTGACTTTCCACCTAGAAAAAAATCTGTGTTAGCAGTGATGTCCGTGGTCTCTCAGAACACACAGGGAGTCCTTTCTAAAAATTCTGTCTTCACAGCATTAAGATGATTATAACTAACACATATTGAGTTATTATATATCAGGATTAGCCTAAGCACTTTGATTTTATTTATTTACTTATTTTATTTATTATTTTGAGACAGAGTCTCGCTCTTGCCCAGGCCGGAGTACAGTGGCAGTCTTGGCTCACTGCAACCTCTGCCTACCGGATTCAAGCGATTCTCCTGCCTCAGCCTCCTGAGTAGCTGGGACTACAGGCACGCATCACCACGCCTGGCTAATTTTTGTGTTTTTAGTAGAGATGGGGTTTCACCATGCTGGCCAGGCTGGTCTCGAAATCCTGACCTTGTGATCCGCCCGCCTCGGCCTCCCAAAATGCTAGAATTACAGGCCTGAGCCACTGTGCCCGGCCAGCAGTTTTCTTTTATTAACCCATTTAAACCTCACAATATCTCTGAGGTTGGTTCCATCATTTCACTGATTGTACAGATGAGAAAACTGAGGCACGAAGAGGCTAAACTACTTGCTGGTGTTTCATAGTCTACAGAGCCAATTCCAGTCTCAGAAATTGCATTTACTGAGAGCCTACCAAGTACCCAGATCTTTAGGGGGTATAGAAGAAGTTTAACTAGAATCTATTTTCTTATGTATTTAATGAATTTTTTTGTTGTAGAGAGTAAAATGACATGAAATTGGAAATGACTGTGATAAATGATTTTCATAGTATAAAAATTGGTACCAAGTCTTTCTCATCCCTTTCATGTCATGGTTTCATTCTTGCAGTTCTCTTTCTATTCTTACCTCTTTTATTTCCTTAAGAAGAGGAAAGGGTAGGGAAAACCTTTAAAGTGAGGAAGGTGTCAGCTTTTTAATAATGTGCCAACTTGCTACCTCTGTCTTTAATGTCTCCCTGTGGCTCTTGGTCACACTTCAGAGTGAGATGACTGGAGAAAGTCTTCAGAAGGCATTAGCTATGATCATCTTGCATCATTGCTCAGCCCTTCTGACCTTGGGCCTGTGTGTTCATCTTAGGGCACAGGCCCCAAAAGGACAGGGTACATCAGTGTTTCTAGATGGCCCAATTGACACTTGATGCTTTCCTGCCTTGGGCTGTTTCACCCAAAGCTCTTAGGATTCCTTATGTCTCCCCTTCCCACCTTATACTTGTTTCACCCAGGAAAGAGCCTCTGTCATGCCCATCGTCTCCTTCCCTCCTGAAGGCTCAGTATCTGGTTAATTACATGACATAGGAATTACTTACCATCTATTTTGGCTATTTCCATACACATTCTGAGAACAAAATAAAAGAGCTCTTCTCCATGCCCCTCTCATAATTTCTTCCCATGCCCTTTTTTGGGGAAGGCAGGCCAGTCAAAGCAGTGATGGCTTTGATCAGAGCAACGAGCAGATCATGATTTATTATTGCCGGAGTAGACAGTGGGCTACATTAGAGGACTGCTTAGACGCATGCTTATTCTAGAAAAGGCTGAAGGAAGAAAGAACCACCCCTTTCCCTCCTCTTCTCAGCTCCCTTCTGCTGGGAGCACCTGGCTGCCAGTTCCCAAGTTCCTCTCCATGGGGAATTGCAGCTCCAAGGTGGCCTCCTGGAGCTGCCTAACTCCGCCTTCACTGAAAATAAGGTGATTGAACTGTAAAGCTGAAATCCTCTGCAGTCATGTCTCCTCCAGAGTCTTCAAGGTCACTCCCACTTTTTTTCTAGACACAAATGGGGTCATTTTTGTAATTCTAATTAACACTGTCTCCAGACATAAATAAAATTTTAAATTTCTCATTGCTATCAGCTGTTTCCACTATGTTTTTCATAAATTGGAATGCAATTTTAAACAGTTAATAAAATTCTCCAGTACAAGAGCAAAACAAGAAGTTAAAGGAACACAATAGTCTAGAAACAGAAGATTTTGATGTATTTTTAAATTGATATGTATGTTATCTGTTCTATTTAGATTACAAACTTAGAGTAATGAATTTGCTTCAGTAAATTTCTTTGTGACTGTGAGTGCTATTGCTTATATTATAATTGGGTCTGGGTCCAAATATATATTGAACTTATTTTCCAAAAGAAATACTCTCCTTAGATTGTGGCATGGCAGGAAAGCATACTGTTCCTAGTAGTCCTCTCCAAACTCCTTTAAAAACTGAGCTTTATGGCAAATTTGTAATGAAGATGTAACACTTTCACTACTTAAACCATGACTTCAATTTGTGATATAATTAAGGGCAATTACTCCTGTTAGAGATTGTAGACTAGGTTAGGCTGAGTTAATAAATAGCTGTTTGGCTCTGGCATTAGCAAGGATGTCTTCATTAGGGTAGTAATGTGTCAAGAGTGCTAAATAGGTTGCCATGGTATTTGTGGGTTTCAGCCTGGACTCTGGCTTTCCCTGAAATTAAAAATGTTCAGCCTTTAATAAAAGGCACTTCCTTACACAGCAAAGCAGACAGAACACTAAATAGGTGAAATGACCAGGGCTCAGGAACTTGATTGCAGAGGCTGATGAATACACACGTGGATATTTTAAAGTAAGCATTGACTCTGACAGGCTTTGTTAAAAAAAAAAAAAAAAGAAAGAAAAGAAAAGAAAAAGAAAAGAAAATGTTTTAGATCTGTATCTCTTCATTTTTCCATCCATTCATCCATCCAGAGGGACTGTGCTCCAGCACATGGAAAAGCTGCTGCCCTGCTTCAGAAAACCTTGCCCACACTCAGGACCAGCTAACGCACAGGGATTAGGTCTTATTCATCTTTCAAATCCGCAGAGCCTAGCACACAGCAGATGTTCAAGAAATGTTTGCTAAATGAATACATAAATTCTGCTTACCCCTAGGCCAAATTGGCCCAAGAGTCAGACATTTTGGATTATGATTTTGTTAGTGGCCAACTTCCAGTATCTGAAGACAGTGGATTGTCCTCAGATGCTGTGACGAAGCCCTGGAAATGTAGAATCCATTGGCCTGTCTGTCTAGGAACAAGGCGTTGTGGTTGGATTAACTTATGTAGTGGTTCTCAGCGTGTCCACTGGACCAGCAGGATTCAAATACTGAATCTACTAAAGATCCTGGATGACTTATGGGAAGTTATGTTATTTCCAAAATTTTACAGTTAAACTATATTTTTTAAAAAGATGACAGCATACTGTAGTTCTCAAATATGTTTTTATTGTGAAAACGTTGTTTTCAAGACCCTGGGGGAAAACACCTAAAACATAAGGCCTTGTTTGTTTATCTGTGTGCCTGTTATGCTTAACGTTTCATGGAAATCTTAATTAGCAGAGAAGTGTAAAATAGTCCTGGATCCGATGGGGGAAGGAGCCAAAAGCTGCCAGTCCAAACTGTCCAGCCCACCTGTGCTGTTTGTCTGTGATTTTGATGAACCTGATGGATGATTCTGAACACAGCATTTTTTTTTCTTTTTACATGTGTTCTCAACGATCCATAATCCTAAATATCTCCTTAGCAGTTGAGGAATGGGGCTTTGAAAGCTCTTGGTAAGATCGATAAAAGTTAAAATTAAAAGCATTTCTGGCCAAACCGCAGTTATTTGCAAAATTTGGCTAAAGAGGACCTTATTTCTCAGGTGTCCTGTTAACATTAACTTCATTGCCTAGTACATAGTAGAAGATTAGTTTACACTACCAGATTATAGATATTAGCATTATGAAAAATTTGAAAATTCTGTTTTTTATTAGTAAATAAAAACATGAGCAACTGATGTTTCTAGAATCTAGATCCTAATTAAAGGAGTCTCATTCCAGTCTTTATATGTGCTTAAGTTTATGTTTTTCTTTTATCAAAACATACATTTAGACATTAAGCTTAACCCTAATGTAGCAACTGGCTGATTATTAATTCAGAATGTATGGAAAGCGTTTACCAGGTTGGCCTAATCTGCTCCATTAGTTTGCATCATAATTAATTTCTTGTCATTAGTAGACGTTCAGATGGCTAATTGATTCTGCTCCTTCTTCTAGGTTTATTTCAATCTACAGAGGACCCAGCCACACCTACAAGGTCCAGAGACTGACGGAATTCACATGCTACTCCTTCAGAATCCAGGCAGCAAGCGAGGCTGGAGAAGGGCCCTTCTCAGAAACCTATACCTTCAGCACAACCAAAAGTGTCCCCCCCACCATCAAAGGTGTGTAGACTATGTATTCTTTCTCGCTCTCTTGTGAGAGTAAGGAACTGTTGGGACTTATAGAAAGAAGCTCTTTTCTGATGTTAAATATAATGTCAGCAAGATAGAATCAAAAGAACATTCTAAAGAAGATTGAGCAATGATGGGTTGTCTGGGGGAAATGAGAGACCTTGAAAGGAAAGGGCCTACTGATGACTTTTCTCTGTAGGTATGCATGTTTATCAAAAATAATGGTTAGAAATAAGGGTTAAATTCCTGGTGCTGCAACCCTTAAGACAGTTTACCAAGGAAGGCGTCAGACTCCCCTTTCCTAGACTTTCAGAGAAGCAGAGGTTGGCATTCATCTTTCAGTGACTTTGGTGCCTAGAGACTGACTTAGGCAACTTCAGCAGCCTTTCTCTTTTGGCGCACAGCTCTTGGTGTGGAGCACTGCCTTTGGAAAGCTGTAGCAGCGTTCTGCTCTAATCTCCTGGGGTACTTATCTTGAAGTTTCTTCAAGGATGACTACTTTCCTACTCTGGCCCCTTAATGGGATCAGGTACTGCAGAAGTTGTGAGAGCCCCATGTATCCAGATCTTCCCCATATCTCTCGAAGCTAGTGAACAAAAGACACTCTGCCTGGACCCTTCTTCCACCGGGTCTGCTGAGCCCTCAGCCTGTTATATAGCCACAGAGCTATGCCTGACTGCGGCTGACTTGCAAGGCAGGAAATAGCAATAGAAACCATAGCATGCTCAGCCTGTCCACCCAGCCACTCATGGACTCCTGAGGCCCTGCCTCATCTCCTGCAAATACTGTGGTTCTTGTGGAGGTCCCTGCAGCTTGTCTTTTAGGGGACAGACAGCACAAGTGGCTTATCGAGCTATTGCTCAAAATAACCCTAAGGCTGACAGATAGCAGGGTAAGTACAACCTGCACAAGAGATCCTTGCATATGTGTTTGACTCTCTACTCCCACATGAAGGAGGTGTGTCAGCTACAACCAGGGCACAAAGTCAATTATAGGAACTTTCCAGGACCTGGGTCAGGATTTGGCTTGGATTCTACGAACCTCATAGCTCCTTTCAGGATTAGTTTAGGGTAAATACCTTCCTCCTGCTTCCCTGCCCTGCAGACTCTTTGGCAGACCCTTCTTTATGTGACTAAGACATGAGTATGAATGTGCATACACATGCACGGCCTTGTCAGGTCACTTTGGCAGTAAATGCCCTGGCCCTTTGGTGCAGCTTTGCCTTTCAGTTATAACACAAAAGATGTCTGAGCACACTGTGGCTGCTTTGGTTTATTAGTACCAAGGAAGGGTGGCCACATTGATCAGTTATCCCACTTCAGGGGTCTTTCTAGAAAGTATGAAGGAGTACTATCTTTGCCTCTCAAAGTGATTCTTGGTGGGGATTCATTTTACAAAAAATACAATGGCACATTGATAGTGCTTGCATCTCCCAGCCTTTCTACTTCAGAAGGTCAGTTTTCCCACTCTGATGCATGATCAGGTAGTCTTCCTCTCACTCTTAGACTCAGGAAATTATTGTCATAGCTGGAGGACAGTTTAATCTGATAGGCTTCCTTATTTAGTTTTTTCATAAAATGCTTGGAATTTTGGCCTAGTATTTCCAGCGTAGGCTCCTTTTCTTCTTCTTCTTTTTTTTTAAGGAAAGCATTATTTTTCTGAAACAATAACACACAGAATTGCAAGCAGAAACAACTGTCTCTAAAGAATTAGTTGCATGTAATTAGGGATTAAAGTATAAGGGGGTTCAGACAGGAGATATACATTCTAGTTACAAAATAGGAAAATGTCCTATTGAATCAAGCTGTAGAGATAGAAGTTATGAAAATATTTTTTAAATCTAGAATATTTTAAGTGCCTTACTGCAGACTAATATAATTTAGCTTTAAATGAGAATGAGGAGTTCAGGAGGTGAAAAATAAAATATATATAAATATAATTTAATTTTTAAAGGCTTTCAATGCTGCCCATTCCCCAGGACTGTTCTCACATGTCACCTGCTCCTCAAACTTTCCTTAGACCCTCACCCAGGTATGCTCTTTTCCTCCTCTGGAAATTCCCAACGTTTTGTTTGTACCTCTCATTTTTATTCCCTGATGTTTCTTTTTGTATGCGTCTCATACCTTGCTCTCCCCTTCCTTCAACTAACTCTTAAGTTTCTTGAAAACAGGGTTTACCTTGCCTGTTTTTGCATCTTCCAGAATACCTAGGACAGGGCCTAAGCCATAGAGGATACTCAATTGCCATAGGAGAAAAAAAGATGTGATCCACATCAAGCTGTTATTAATGGGATAATGGGCAAAGGATTTTTCATCAATGGCTTTTTAGTCATGGAGTAACTTCTCTGTGCCTAAAGGGCACCCTGCTGGTTTTATGAGAGGCTGGGCAAATCAGCTCCTCTCTCAGGGCAAACACAGGCACAATCTTGCTCTCTCTGGGTTCTCACTAATAGTGCTAAAGTGTTGACTATTAACATGATACTTTGAATTTTGAGCTTGGATGTGTGGATTTGTATTTCAGCACCTCGAGTAACACAGTTAGAAGGAAATTCATGTGAAATTTTATGGGAGACGGTACCATCAATGAAAGGTGACCCTGTTAACTACATTCTGCAGGTATTGGTTGGAAGAGAATCTGAGTACAAACAGGTAAGAACCAGTGTGCATGGCACATGTGCAACTGAGTATGGCTGGCTCCATGCCTCTGCTTATTGCTATGAATGACTCAGTGAACTATGTTTTTCTTAAAATCAGTGATAGAAACTGCCTAACTTGTACTTATTGTATAATTCTTCAGAGTGGGTGAAACCTAGTTTACATTTCATTTTATATATGGTGGTATTCATCTTCAATTTTCAGTTCTCAAGCATATGTTTGTCTTAAAGAGTTGTAAATCGTTTATTTGTATTTGACATTGATGGTGAGGTTTGCAAGCATCAAAGTCAGTATGTAATTGAAAACTAAAGTGCCTGTGATTTTACTATAGAGGGAAGTAGTCTCTTTTTTTGTTGTTGTTAGTATTGATCTTTTTTTTTTTTCATTATACTTTAAGTTCTGGGATACATGTGTAGAATATGCAGGTTTGTTACATAGGTATACATGTGCCATGGTAGTTTGCTGCGCCCATCAACCTGTCATCTACATTAGGTATTTCTCCTAATGCTATCCCTCCCCTTGCCCCCCACCCCCTGACAGGCCCCAGTGTGTGATGTTCCCCTCCCTGTGCCCATATGTTCTCATTGTTCAACTCCCACTTATGAGTGAGAACCTGCGGTGTTTGGTTTTCTGTTCCTGTGTCAGTTTGCCAAGAATGATGGTTTCCACTTCATCCATGTCCCTACAAAGGACATGAACTCGTTCTTTTTTTATGGCTGCACAGTATTCCATGGTGTATATGTGCCACATTTTCTTTATCCAGTCTAACATTGATGGGCATTTGGGTTGGTTCCAAGTCTTTGCTATTGTGAATAGTGCTGCAATAAACATACATGTGCATGTGTCTTTATAGTAGAAGGATTTATAATCCTTTGGGTATATACCCAGTAATGGGATTGCTGGGTCAAATGGTATTTCTGGTTCTAGATCCTTGAGGAATTGCCACACTGTCTTCCACAATGGTTGAACTAATTTACACTCCCACCAACGGTGTAAAAGTGTTCCTATTTCCCCACATCCTCTCCAGCATCTGTTGTTTCCTGACTTTTTAAATGATTGCCATTCTAACTGGCGTGAAATGGTATCTCATAGTAGTTTTGATTTGCATTTCTCTAATGACAAGTGATGACGAGCTTTTTTTCATATGTTTGTTGGCCACATAAATATCTTCTTTTGAGAAGTGTCTGTTCATATCCTTCACCCACTTTTTGATGGGGTGGTTTTTTTCTTGTAAATTTGTGTAAGGTCCTTGTAGGTGCTAGATATTAGGCCTTTGTCAGATGGATAGATTGCAAAATTTTTCTCCCATTCTGAAGGTTGCCTGTTCACTCTGATGATAGTTTCTTTGCTGTGCAGAAGCTCTTTAGTTTAATTAGATCCCATTTGTCAATTTTGGCTTTTGTTGCCATTGCTTTTGGTGTTTTAGTCATGAAGTCTTTACCCATGCCTATGTTCCGAATGGTATTGCCTAGGTTTTCTTCTACGGTTTTTATGATTTTAGGTCTTACATTTAAATCTTTAATCCATCTTGAGTTAATTTTTGTATAAGGGGTAAGGAAGGGGTCCACTTTCAGTTTTCTGTATATAGCTAGCCAGTTTTTCCAACACCATTTGTTAAATAGGGAATCCTTTCCCCATTTCTTGTTTTTGTCAGGTTTGTCAAAGATCAGATGGTTGTAGATGTGTGGTGGTATTTCTGAGCCCTCTGTTATGTTCCATTGGTCTATATATCTGTTTTGGTACCAGTACTATGCTGTTTTGGTTACTGTAGCCTTGTAATATAGTTTGAAGTCAGGTAGCATGATGCCTCCAGCTTTGTTCTTTTTGCTTAGGATTGTCTTGGCTATACACACTCTTTTTTGGTTCCATATGAAACTTAAAGTAGGTTTTTTCTGATTCTGTGAAGAAAGTCAGTGGTAACTTGATGGGAATAGCATTGAATCTATAAATTACTTTGGGCAGTATGGCCATTTTCACGATATTGATTCTTCCTATCCACGAGCATGGAATGTTTTTCCATTTGTTTGTGTCCTCTCTTATTTTCTTGAGCAGTGGTTTGTAGTTCTCCCTGAAGAGGTCCTTCACATCCCTTGTAAGTTGTATTCCTAGGTATTTTATTCTCTTTGTAGCAATTGTGAATGGGAGTTTGCTCATGATTTGGCTGTTTGTCTATTATTGGTGTATAGGAATGCTTGTGATTTTTGCACATTGATTTGGTATCCTGAGATTTTGCTGAAGTTGCTTATCAACTTAAGGAGTTTTTGGACTGAGATGATGGGGTTTTCTAAACGTACAATCATGTCATCGAGGAGAAGTAGTCTTAACCTAACTACTGAAGCCTACATTCTGTCTACCTTTTTTGTAGAACTAATGGAAGGTTAAGGGAGATGATGCATAGGCCCTGGAGGCCTGTGATTCAGAAGCTCTAAGTCATGCATGTCACCTTTTAATGTCAAAGGAATCACCCGGGAATCTGTTAAAATGCAGATTCTGACCTGGTAGGTCTTGGGTGGAGATTCACCCTCCCAGGTGACACTGACATTGCTGGTCCATGGACCATAATTTGAGTAGCAAGGCTCTGTAAATCACATAATAAACCCACATAAGAGAGAATGCATTTGGAATATAGCCAGATAAGAAATTAGTTTTATCATGTTTCATAGCCCTTGTTGATTCTTAATTCTTCCAAAGAAGAATCAGATCAATGACTCTGAAGGATTTAGATACTCTATAGGCTTTCATAATAGTCCCTAGAACTTGTTTTTGTCAAATCAGGATATAATATTATGTATTCCATTAGGAAAGCTGAGGTGCATTCTTCGTCAGCACTTTTAATAGGAGCGTTCATTTATATCAAACATAAAGATGAAAATAAATGCCACCTGTTCTCTGAAACAGTAGCATAATTTATAAAAAAAACTTTGTTCAGTTCCAAATACACAAGTAGAAAATCATTTGATTCAGAGTTTCTGTTAAATTTCTCATTGGTGTTTGCTATATGATAATAAAGAATATTGGCAAATAAAATGTTTTTAAAAAAAGGTAATTTTGGACATTTTGCTGTACTTTGTTAATATGATGTATCAGATAAAAGATTTAATTGTTTTAAACAAAAAACTTTATCCTAAATATGACATCTACCAGTGTCGATTAACATCAGCGGATGATGTCACCAAAGTTTCCATCATTCCTCTTAAATAAGAACAAAGACACTATGGTTCCTTTTATTTTTGAATCTCATTTTATACGATATATTCCATTTCAGAGTAAATAACTTACATGCGTAATTGTTTCATTTTACCAGAAAGATATGATTGGTTTCGGGTCTTAGCTCAAATAGAGAGCAGAGAATTTATTCTGTTCCATAGCAATGTGAAAATGGTTAAAATATGAGGTGTTAAGAAATTTTACAACATATCATTTGACGCTTAATAATAATTCATTTCCCAGCAGTACATTGATCACACATTTGTTATTGTATTGTAAAAATCTTTTATTTTACGTGCCGTGCTTTTCCACCTGTTCTTGGAAAAATGTTCTGCTTCCCAAAGCACAGTGACTGCTGTTTCCTGTTGAAAAAAGCAGCATTATTTGCTTGATACCTATACACATCAGGCATTGCCAAACTATAGGTGAATCTATTCAGTAATTTAGATTTTATTGGCAGATGATCTCTTTTGAATGTTGTCTGTTTAATGTTATATATTTAGACCCATGGCCATATAAATGCTAATATACTAATGCATAATCATATGTATGCCACAGACTATTTTTCTTATTATAAACAGTTATAAACAAAGTGTTCCTTGTTGTAAACAGGTGAAAACACACAGTACTGCACGGCAGGCTCAGCAGATGAGGCTTAGCATTCTCCACATGCCCATTTGCTTCCTGCATTTACCAAGAAATGATTAAGGAGAGTAGTCGTACATGAAAAGCCACAGTTGAGTCAGGGACAATTTGTACTGGTTTCTTTTTTTTTTTTCTGGCTTCTCGCTATTCAGCAAACATTAACTTAAACATGATGTTTTAGTACTTCATTGTTCTGGACATGAGCTAGGGAATGAAACATATTTATGTGTGCAGAACAATGGTTAAAATAATTATAGTTCAAGGATAACAGGCAACAGGCTTTGAATTCATAGAGGCAAAGCAAAAGAAAATGAGAGGTAATTACTGCTGTACATCCACCACAGCGGAGCTACAGGCTCACTGTGTATACCTCAATTATAGCACTAATCAGACAGGACCCACTAATACGTGGGCTTGTGTTATTCATTTTTATTTTTCCAGTACTGGCATATAGTTTGACACTCAGTAAATGTTTCCTGCATGCATGAAAGACGCAGCTTCAAAGCACCAGGGTTATTTATACCTGCAGTGGTGACAAGAGTAAACTTCAGCATAGAAAGAAAAAAATCACCCCT
Source organism: Homo sapiens (assembly GCF_000001405.40). Classification (NCBI taxonomy): domain Eukaryota; kingdom Metazoa; phylum Chordata; class Mammalia; order Primates; family Hominidae; genus Homo; species Homo sapiens. The sequence continues at coordinate 172,385,527 of NC_000003.12, forward strand.
AATAGGATAATATCCTTTTCCCCCAAGACCTTTTTTCTTTTTTTTTTTTTTGGACAGAGTCTCACTCTGTCGCCCAGGCTGGAGCACAGTGGCGTGATCTCGGCTCACTGCAAGGTCTGCCTCCCGGGTTCACGCCATTCTCCTGCCTCAGCCTCCCGAGTAGCTGGGACTACAGGCACCCGCCACCACACCTGGCTAATTTTTTGTATTTTTAATAGAGACGGGGTTTCACTGTCTTAGCCAGGATGGTCTCGATCTCCTGACCTGGTGATCCACCCACCTCAGCCTCCCAAAGTGCTGGGATTACAGGCGTGAGCCACCATGCCCGGCCCTTCCCCCAAGCTCATTTTTATAGGCGACACATGACAAGTGCCATGGCCTTTTCTGATGTTTTGTTTGAAGCATCAACTCTAACTTTGCCTTGGTTCTAGGTGATTCGCTTTCTGTTTTTCAGGTGTCACAATGTGGGGCAAGCAGCTGATTTTAATTATTAAACAATCTATTAACTTGAAGTATTAAATTATTACTCACAATTTTACTCTTCATTAGATTGCATGCACATTTGGTTTGCCTTTTGCCATTTAATAAATATTCCAAGCACAGCTTTTTTTCCAGGAAGCTTAAAACTTCTTTTCAAATAGGCTTAACTGTAAAGTATTCTTTAAAAGAATGAAAATTGTGTCTATATGCATGTGACTTCTTATTTTGTACAAGATATAGCATAGACAGTTTCATGCATAGTAAGAAGTAAAGCAAAACAATTCATATTCCTATTCAGGCAGCAATAACTTTTCTAAGAAGTATTTAATATAAGCATTGAAGACAAGGAAAGGATCAACAAATTGTGAGAAATTATTACCTATTGGCAGTCAAAATTTATGAAAAATTACTGAAATTCTTGGTGCTCAGATTTGTTGCGTAAAGAAAACCTCTGGGCTGGGCGCGGTGGCTTACGCCTGTAATCCCAGCCCTTTGGGAGGCCAAGATGGGCGGATCACGAGGTCAGGAGATCGAGACCATCCTGGCTAACACAGTGAAACCCTGTCTCTACTAAAAATACAAAAAATTAGCCAGGCATGTTGGCAGGCACCTGTAGTCCGAGCTACTTGGGAGGCTGAGGCAGGAGAATGGCATGAACCTGGAAGCAGAGCTTGCAGTGAGCCGAGATCGTGCCACTGCACTCCAGCCTAGGGGACAGAGCGAGACTCTGTCTCAAAAAAAGAAAAAAAAAAGAAAAAAAAAAAAAAAACCTCTGAAGTGTCTAGAGGTCTGTAAAGCTACACATTTAATTTCATGGTATTTCTGTATCAATATATTTTTATCATGTATCATTTTTAGAATATAGTATCAAGGCATGCATTGATTCTACATGGTATCACAAAGAGTACCACAAGGAAAGATCTTCTCTTGACCAAACTATTTTAAAGTCTTGGAGCCTCCTTTTTTTTGAGATGGAGTCTCGCTCTGTCGCCCAGGCTGGAGTACAGTAGCATGATCTCAGCTCACTGCAACCTCTGCCTCCCGGGTTCAAGTGATCCTCTTGTCTCAGCTTCCCAAGTAGATGGGATTAAAGGCGCCTGCCACCATGCCAGGCTAATTTTTGTATTTTTAGTAGAGACGGGATTTCACCATGTTGTCCAGGCTGGTCTTGAACTGCTGACCTCAAGTGATCCACCTGCTTCGGCCTCCCAAAATGCTGGATTACAGGCATGAGCCACCACACCCAGCGGCTAATTTATTTTTGTATTTTTAGTGGAGATAGGTTTTCACCATGTTGGCCAGGCTGGTCTCCAACTCCTAACCTCCAGTGATCCACCCGCCTCACCCTCCCAAAGTGCAGGGATTATAGGCGTGAGCCACCATGCCTGTCCCCTTCATCATATTTTTTTAATGACTTTCAACTCATTTCCCTAATACAGAAATTAAACAATGAGGCTATGACTGTCTCATAGGACAGTTTTTTATTTCTGCATGAATAAAGGGTCAAATTTAGAACAAAATAAAAATAGATCAAGATAGACCTCTTTAAAAACCATCGTTTATTTTACTGATTCTTAGGGCTTTTTTAGTTTTATAGGTTTATTTAAGTATCTGAAGGTCATGACCCCTTATATCAGAAAAATTCCCATACATGTACCCATACCTCTACTTAAAATTCATGTAAAATGAACTGATAGTCACTTTCATGGAGGCCAGGTAGAGGACTCCTGGTTTATTGAGAAACTGTCGGGTGTTTTACATTGTGAGGGCTTCCTGGCATAGTCAGTACTCTAAGAGTTTATAGGCCCATTGGATGAAAACCCCCAGGAAGCAGTTCAGTAACGGTACCCTTGCCTCTCATCTTTGGCTCAAGGACAAAGTTATGTGCCCAACATTATGCCCTCAATAGAGGAGGCCTGCAGGTTAGCACATTTCCCCTTGAGCCTGGTAGGCATAGCAGGGGAGACACGGCGACAAGTCTCCCTCCCATAGTCATGTAATTCTGGAGGAATTAATTCACCTAGTTGAGTCTTGGCTTTCTCATTGTAACCCTAACTCAGGTGGTTACTGTGAGCATTAGATCATTCAATCATGAGAAGGAGGTGTACAGATGATAACATGGTGCAATTATATCTCCCCTTCAGTTCTTGGGAGGGGTGACATTAGTAAAGAGATGAAGGTAAGCCTCCAGCAGCCGAGTATGCACTGTTCTCGCCACCCTTCCCAAAAAGCTCCCTGTTATTTACAGGATTTCAACTATGCAGCATGTTATTTTGAATTAAGGGTTATGGATTCTTGCTTTCAGTTGTCTGGGTATTACTTTAAATCCTCTCATTTGGAATAAACATGTCAAGATTACTTTAAAATATATCATTCATCAAATCAAGAACAGAAATAGTCTTTGTAAAAATAATAATGTTTCTATACTTATTACAATATTATGATTGGTTACTTCAATAAAAAAAATCTCAAATGGAGCCATGCCGTTTAAATTGGATTGAGTCAAGAGGAAAAGCCCATAAGGGTGCCTTTGTCAAAATGAATGAAAACAAAGGGACACAAAGCGTGGCCTGCTGCCCTGATGCGCAGAGCTGCACAGTCCTGGGGGAGGCACAGCTGTATGGCAGGCCTGGCGACATGGTGATTTTTGTGACATCATTAGTTCCTAAGTACTGTGGGTTGTAAGTGTCCGTGGCCATGTCTGGACACCAAGCCAGCATCATGGGGCTCCCCTTCCGTTGATTTCTGCAAGTCCTGTATTTGTAGGCCCCAAGGGTCCCTGGCACCAAGCATTTGTCCTGGAGTGTTACACATGATTTCTGCAAGGCGGGGCAGGGAAAGTACAGTCAAGTAGCAATATAATATATCATGTTGACATTTCTTAGATGCCTACTGCATGCCAAGCCCCGTCCTAGGAGGTTGCTACATGTTATCCCACTTAATCAGTAATCCCATAATCACATGAGACTATTATTTTCATGTAGGGGGCGGGGGATGTTTCTCTTCCGCAGAAGGATGTTACCTTCAAGGGACAGGTATTACAAAGATGTTGAATTAATTTTCAATTATTTGGGCTTCTTAATCGTATCTGGGCTTTTGGATCTCATATTTTAGTTTTAAAACCCCATCAGTTTATAGTTAATAACATAAGTTTACAAGTGTAATAACTCAAAAATTTATTTCATTTAGTTGTATAAAATATGATTGGCTTATTCCACATGCAACCATTTAGTTAAAAAAATTGAGACATTACATTTCATTTTAAAGCTCATCTTTGTTACTTTCTTTGAACCTGAAAATCCTTAATCTGTTACTCTAAAAAAATCTTCACTGAGATATGACTGGCCTCACCACACTGGTCTATGTGAATTTGCTGACTTTTAAGGACATTATAGTCAGAGCCAAGGTAGACAAGCTATGAAGTATGTGTGCTCTCACATTTACATATTTATACAACTAGAAGAGTATTTGCAAAGTTTTAATATTTGGATCACTTTAAAAACTATTAGAACGTATTAGAAAAACTATTAGAACATATTAGAAAATGATTAAAACATATTAGAAAAACTGTTCACGTGTGGGGGGGTGGCTCACGCCTGTAGTAATCCCAGCACTTTGGGAGCCTGAGGCGGGTGGATCACAAGGTCAAGAGATTGAGACCATCCTGGCTAACACAGTGAAACCCTGTCTCTACTAAAAATACAAAAAAAATAGCTGGGCGTAGTGGCGGGCGCCTGTTGTCCCAGCTACTCGGGAGGCTGAGGCAGGAGAATGGCCTGAACCTGGGAGGCGGAGCTTGCAGTGAGCCAAGATCAAGCCACTGCACTCCAGCCTGGGCGAGAGCGAGACTCGGTCTCAAAAAAAAGAAAAACTATTCACGTGCATAAAATATACTAGAAACTACATGTTTTCTATCAATAGACTCCATTTTTTGCTGCACCTATACCAAACTGTCTCTTGCCCCTGTGGTCTGTGTGTGCATCTTAATGCTTACTGTTCACATTTACTTGTTAGTTTCTCTTTATAAACACTGTGGTATCAGAATATCTACTCTTTGAGTATTTGAGGGTTCTAATTAGAGAACATTCGCTGAGCATCTACTTTGTTCAAGCCATTGTGCTGGTTGCTGTGGAGATATGGAAATAATAGAACACTGTCTCACTCAATATATTTATCTTAAATGTAAAAAAGATAATGTTAACATTGTGTTGGCAAGGCTTGTGAAAGAGGGAAGCTGTTCCAATTAAAATAACAAGAATAGCTAAAAGAAAAACATTTACAAATTAAAAACTAACTTTTGATTAGACTTTCGTTAAGAAAGTTCCCTTCAGTTAACTATTTATATTATTTTACAATGCTTTTTGCCTAATGGTACAAGAAAAATAGGATTCCTTTATTTTTAAAATACATTTTCAGATATCTTCCAGTCTACAAAGTTAAAGTTGGGAAGTTTTGTTAAAATTAATATATGAAGTCTTTGTTCAAGAGTCTCTAAACTGGGTTTCTGGGAAATTAAATATACGTTTGGGCTCACTTTTTTTTTTTTTAAATCTTAACCAGGGTTTGTCTTGAACTCCTAACCTCAAGTGATCCTCCCGCTGAGCCCACTTTTTAAAAGGGATGTAGCCATGCAAATTCTGGAAACTGTAGAAATAATTAAAATAGATATAAATATATATTTATATTCACTTTCCAGAAGTCTTTACAACATTTGTGGGGATAGGTTATTAAGTGGTTTTCTACAGTGATGTCATTGTTCGATGGCAGAAATTAAGAGGCCACATCACAAAAACACTGTCCAGGTCTTTGCTTGGCAGAAACTGAGCAGGGAACTGCTTTCAATAACATCATAAAAGATAGTGTTTTCCTTTATGGAGCAGCAGGAGCCGTGGTGGGATGATTTAGAAGGTCTTTCATGGAAATACCAGAGAGTTAGCAGCGAGCTATGGGAAGACATAGTCAGAGGCCGTGAAACCTGGACCCGGTGTCACACTGTAGTCATTAGAAGAGGAGTAAAGTGGAGGACAATAATGGAACAGGCAGAGCTGGGGCAATTTCAGTGGTGAGGGTCGGTGTTTGATTTGGAAGTGGAGTCTCATCTGGGATCCACCACTCCCTTTATTTGCTAAGAGACTTTAAGAAATTAACAGCCTCTCTGAGCCTTAGTTTCTTCATATCTAAAATGAAAGTAATGATATTCACCTGACAGCATAATTAAGAAGATTAAATTCAATAAAGCAGACATACCCTCCAGCATATTCCTTTTGCAGAGCATTTTCCACATCCATTTTCTTGACTGATCCTCAACCTCCTTTGGAGTAGTGTTACTATTAGGTCCTGGATCTAGCTCCATGTTAAAGATGAGAAAACTAAGGCACAAAGCTGTTACTTGCCTGAGATCACAGACCTAGTAAGTGGCAGAGCAAGGACTTAGACTGAAATCCTGATTCTAGTTTCTGTGCTTGAGAAAAGTCTGCTTAATGCTTCCGAGTGCCAAGTCACACCAGCCAGGCCCAGCTCCCAGGATTGCACAGAGAAAAAGAACTCTTAATGACTACATTATTTGACCCTTTGATAAGGGTAAACAAATATTTCAATAGGTGTCACCTGCAAAAGAATCAGTGAAAGAGGTGTATCAGAAAACCTTGCTTAGATGTCAGCTTTTCTCCAACTTGATAAACATCCCAACATTAACTTATCGCCACCATAGAGTGTCAGAATAAATAGTATACCTGTGACTTTGAAGATAGGGAAACCAAAGCCCAGATGGCAAATGTGAAAGGACTTGCTTTATCAAACTGGTGGAGTCCCAGAAGTTGCAAATCATCCCCTTCATGAACGGTTTCCAAGAAAAGCATTCTATACTTAGGAAATCATCCTCTTCAAGAACAGTTTCCAAGAAAAGCATTCTATACTTAAGAAATTAAATCTAAATTAAGAAAATAAAGAACACTCACAACTAAAAGCTATCTTTAAAGAAAAAAAAAATGGCTATTGTTTTCCTGAGACCTCCCACATGTTGGGAAATAACTTACAGTGAGGCAGTTTCCTTGTGGTGTAGTCTGAACTCTTGAATAGCTGGCTGTGTATGGATTGCGGCAGTCACCATAACAATGGGCTCATCTTAAAACGTTCATTTAGATTCATTATTGGAACTGTGAGCAGTGAGAAAGGAATGGTCTCTCAGGACCGTAAGGGGTTTGCTTACAGCTCTTCTTAGTTGCTCCAGCCTAGCTATTTGTAACTCAAACAGCTAAGACACATGCCACAATTTTAAGAAACAGGATAACTCACCAGGAGGAATGTGCTTAAAGTCTTATAAAAAGAATAACAAAAGCAAGATAAATCTGGAAAAGTATAAGTAGTAAACAGAATTGGTTGTCTGGAGTTTAGTCACTAAGCAAAAATATAATAAGATGCTTGAAGTAAAGTTTGAAAATGAGGGAGGAATCTCTTTAAAAGGATAACTACCAGGTGAACATTGGAAGCCTGGCCTCCGTTCCAGACCATAAGATCCTTTTTTTGTCTTTCAACTTGGAGCCAACACTAAATTCATGTCCAGTGCACTTGTATTCACTAATGGAATGTCCTGTTTCTTGGTGGAAGTTTACACACTGGGCTTTAGAAACATGTAGAGGCATTTGTAGATTCCCGCTAACTGAATAGGTGGCAAGTGTTTTAGGCAAAGGTGAGTTTGTTGGAAATTCACTTCTAGGGTATTTGTATTAATGGGTAGAATTATTTGGATTGAATTTGCCAATAAAAAGACAAAGTAACTGAATGAATTTTTTCTTTTTTTTTTTCTTTTTTTTTTTTCAGACAGAGAGTATTGCTCTGTCACCCAGGCTGGAGTGCAATGGCACAATCTCGGCTCACTAAAACCTCCACCTCCCATGTCCAAGCAGTTCTTCTGCCTGTATCCTGTATCTGGGATTACAGGCATATGCCACCCTACCTGGCTAATTTTTGTATTTTTAGTAGAGATGAGGTTTCACCATGTTGGTCACGCTGGTCTTGAACTCCTGACCTCAGGTGATCCACCCATCTCAGCCTCCCAAAGTGCTGAGATTACAGGCATGAGCCACCATGCCCAGCCATGAATTTTTTTTTAAGACCCAACAGTATGCTGCCTACAAGAGTCACCTCACTTTTAAGGACACCCATAGACTGAAAGTGAAAAGTTGGAAAAAGATACTCCATGCAAATAGAAACCAAAAGAAAGCAGGGATAGCTAAACTTATATCAGACAAAATAGACTTTAAGTCAAAAACTGTAAAAAGAGACATTATATAATGATAAGAGCATCAATTCATCAAGAGGATATAACAGTTATATATGCACCCAACATTGAAACACCTAAATACATAAAATATTGAAGGATCTGAAGGGAGGGATAAATTGCAATACAATAATAGTAGGAGACTTTAATACTCTACAGATAATCCAGACAGAAAATTAATAAACATTGGGCTTGAACAATACTGTAGACCAAATGGACCTAACTGACGTTTCATCCAACAGCAACTGTATACACATCCTTCTCAAGCATACATGGAACATTCTCCAGGATAGATCAAATGTTAAGGCACAACACAAGCCTCAGCAAATTTTAGAAGCCTGAAATTATATCAAGTATCTTTTCAGACCACAGTGTTAAGAAACTAGAAATCAATGCCAGAAGGAATTTTGGAAAATTCACGAATACATGGAAATAAAAAACATACTTCTGAACAACAAATGGGTCAGTGAAGAAATTAAATGGAAATTAAAAAATATTTTGAGGCAAATGGAAACACAACTTATTAAAATGTATGGGATACGGCCAGGCACAGTGGCTCACACCTGTAATCCCAGCACTTTGGGAGGCTGAGGTGAGCAGATCATGAGGTCAAGAGATGGAGACCATCCTGGCTAATAGGGTAAAACCCCTTCTCTACTAAAAATACAAAAAATTAGCTGGGTGTGGTGACGGGTGCCTGTAGTCCCAGGTACTCGGGAGGCTGAGGCAGGAGAATGGTGTGAACCCAGGAGGCGGAGCTTGCAGTGAGCCAAGATCATGCCACTGCAGTCTAGCCTGGGTGACAGAGTGAGACTCCTTCTAAAAAAAAAAAAAAAAAAAAAAAAAAAAAATGGATACAGCACAAGTAGTTCTAAAAGCAAAGTTTAAAGCAATAAACACCTACATCAAAAAGCAAGAGAGATCCCAACGTAACATTATACCTCACGGAACTGGGGGGAGGGAGAAACTAAGCCCAAAGTTAGCAGAAGGAAGGAAACAAGATGAAAACAGAAATAATTGAAGGAGACTAGAAAAACAGTACAAAGATCAACAAAACTAAGAGTTGTTTTTCTGAAAAGATAAAAATCAACAAATCTTTAGTTACACCAAGAAGACACAAAATCAGAAAAAAAGATTACAGCAAATACCCCAGAAATACACAGGAACATTTGAGACTATTAGGAACAAATATATGCCAACAAATTGGATAACCTAGAAGAAATGTATAAATTTCTAGATACATGCAACTTATCAAGACTGAAGAAATAGAAAATCCAACAGACCAATGGGTAAGGAGATGAAATCAATAAGTTTTCCATCAAAGAAAACCCTAGGGCCTGATGGCTTCATGGCTGAACTCTACCAAATATTTAAAGAACTAATACCAATCCTTCTCAGATTCTTTCAAAAAGGTAAATGAGGAGGGAATACTTCCAAACTCTTTTTTGCAAGGCCAGCATCATCCTCATATCAAAGGCAGGCAAGGCCATTACAAATAATAATAATAATAAATTACAGGCCAATATCCTTTATGAACATAGATGTAAAAATCCCCAGTATAATGCTAGCAAACCCAATTCAACAACACATTAAAGGATCATCCACCATGATCAAGTAGGATTTATCCCTGGGACGCAAGGATGATTCAGCATACCCAAATCGACAAATGTGATACATCATTAACAGAATGAAGGCCAAAAACCATATAATTATCTCATTAGATGCAAAGAAAGTGTTTGACAAAATTGACAAGTTTATTGCTGGGTTATTTTTCAGTTCTAAATAGCAATAATAATAATAGCTAACTCCTACTGTGCACTAACTTCATGCCAGGTGTGTTTTAAGCACTTCACAGGTATTAACTCAGTACTACTCAGATAGAGTTCCGTTAATTTTATTTTCTTTTTTAATTATCAGCCAAATCGCTTATTGATTTGGTTTCATTTCTGCTATTTTTTTCTTTGTCTGTCCATTGACTCTAAGCCATAAATTTTTATGCAATTTTAATCTGATTATCATTTCCTCTTAAGTTTTTTGAGGATTGGTTTCATTTTGCTAGAAGAACCTTGTGAGACCTTCTTCCTCCATTCCCCTTCAAAGACTCTTGTTAGTTTCAGTCAACCAAAATGTGATAATGTCTAAGTAAACTGGTCATTTTCAAGTTTCTGTAACAGTAAGCCTCTTGATGATTATGTTAATGTTAACAAATAGGAAGAAAACATCCCAGATTCTTAATAGAAGAAATCAGGTTTGTCATACAGAGATGAAAACTCAAGACAGACCACCAAATTATTTAAATGTTAGTTTGTGATAAAGTGGGCTACATCCAAAAAAAATTCCTCAAGAAAACAAGTAGGCATGCCACAAAACTGGGAGAAAATATTCTCAACACATATATCTGGCTAAGGACTTAGATCCAGATCACATAACAAGGCCCTGCAAATTAATAAAAGTCAAGCGAATTGCAAATTAAAGATAGGCAAAAGACTTGTACATATTATTCACAGAAGAAGGTACATGAACAACCAGTAAGCACGTGAAAAGATGCGCAGCATCTTTCAGCATCACAGAAATGCAGTCGTGGTACCATTCGCACCCTCTAGGATAGCTAAAATAGAAAAGACTGACGATCAATGTTGAAGAGGATGTGGTGCAACTCAGACTCTCGTGCGCAAAGGGATCCAATCTCTTGAGAAAACTGTTTCTTGTGAAGTTAACTACAGAACTACTCTGTGACCCAGCACTTCCTTGTATTTACCCAGAAAAATAACTTAAGTTCTCAAAATTTGAACAAAAACATTCATAACATTCTTATTAATAGCATTTTTATTATACGAAACCTCCAAACTGGAAATAACCCGAATGTCCATCGAAAAGAAAATGGAGGAATTAAGGTATAGTTATAAGGAACTACTACCGAATAGCTCGATAACATGAGTGAATCTCATAGGCACAAGGGAGTGTGTTCTGCATGATTCCATTTATATGAACTCCTAGTATAAGCAAAATTAATTACAGAATTAGAAGTCATTATAGTGTCTACCTCTTGGGGTGGAGGTGGGATATCTTGAGGGGATGCGTTTGTAATGTATCCAGTTGTCAAAAAATCATCCTGCTGGAAAATTTACATTTTGTTTGCTCAGTTTTTAATTGTTTCCATTTTAGAATGTTAACTTTGTTCTTGGGACCAAAAACATAGACCTATTTGTATTATGACATCTTCTGATTTATAGTCTAAATCAGGGGTCCCCAACCCCCAGGCCGGGTACCAGTACTGGTGAGTGGCCTATTAGGAACCAGGCCGCACAGCAGGAAGTGATTGACAAGCAGGAACGTTACTGCCTGAGCTCTGCCTCCTGTCAGATCAGTAAGGCATTAGATTCCCACAGAAGCATGAAGCGTATTGTGAACTGTGTATACGAGGGATCTAGGTTGTGCACTCCTCATGCGGATCTAACACCTGATGACCTGAGGTGGAACAATTTCACTTTGAAACTACCCCTGTCCGTGGAAAACTTGTCCTCCACAAAACCAGTCCCTGGTGCCCAAAAGGTTGGGGACCGCTGACCTAAATTATTAAAATTTAGTGAGATGCATCCTTACTACTTAAAATGTCAGCTGCATTTCTAGTCAGTGCCTTATCTCCTTCTGTCAAAGTTCGAGTCACTGGATTTTATATTGTTTCATTCAAAGTGTGTTGGAATACCCTTTTTATGGTTGGAATACAGATTGAGAGAAGTACATTTTTATATCATCTTTGTTATAAGAGTGAATGTGAATATAAACCAAGAGTGAATGGAGTGAATCTAAACCAAGATTCTTCTAGAGACAACAGTGTTGCTATAAATTAATTAACTAGGACTCTTCTTTTCCTGAAGGTGTACAAGGGAGAAGAAGCCACATTCCAAATCTCAGGCCTCCAGACCAACACAGACTACAGGTTCCGCGTATGTGCGTGTCGTCGCTGTTTAGACACCTCTCAGGAGCTAAGCGGAGCCTTCAGCCCCTCTGCGGCTTTTGTATTACAACGAAGTGAGGTCATGCTTACAGGGGACATGGGGAGCTTAGATGATCCCAAAATGAAGAGCATGATGCCTACTGATGAACAGTTTGCAGCCATCATTGTGCTTGGCTTTGCAACTTTGTCCATTTTATTTGCCTTTATATTACAGTACTTCTTAATGAAGTAAACCCAACAAAACTAGAGGTATGAATTAATGCTACACATTTTAATACACACATTTATTCAGATACTCCCCTTTTTAAAGCCCTTTTGTTTTTTGATTTATATACTCTGTTTTACAGATTTAGCTAGAAAAAAAATGTCAGTGTTTTGGTGCACCTTTTTGAAATGCAAAACTAGGAAAAGGTTAAACTGGATTTTTTTTTTTAAAAAAAAGAAAAAAAAAGAAGAAAAGTATACCAGATACCAAAAGCTAGCTTTCTTATGTTTTCCTTTAAATTTTCAGATTTACCTTCATTCTGTTTTCACTGATGTCTTTTGCAAGCCTTTGATTTTTTTTTTTTTGTTACAGTTTAGTAATTTATATTCACCAGTCACTTCATATGTCTTGAACATCTGTATCTGTAAACATGAATCACCGTGTGTGTACTTACAGGGCTAGGATTTCAGTGTTGTCAGAGTATTACCACACAGCAACAGCAACATACAGAAGATATGTTCACTCAGATAAGACTGCCCTAAACAACCATTTTGTCACTCAGTTATTTAACTGTGTTTAGCTCATTTAAATCAAAATGTGTACTTTAATCTAAAATGTTTTAATAATCTGTATTTCTTATAATTTTAACACTATGAGCTGCCTGTATAAGAAATCAAGTAACCAGAATGCACCTATAAATTATGGAGCATTGTAGATTTTACCACATCAATTCATAGCAGTAACTTTAAGAGGGCATTGTGCAATAGTTAGTTGTTTTCTTGTTCAGCTATTTTAAAGGCTGCTTTAACTTGTTTGTTTGTCTTTGTATATAACTACTTCTAATCTAATCACTAGAGTTATTATATTCTGTTATGTTTGACCAGAATTATATGACAAGAACTGGTGACAGTTTAGTGCCTCTGCCCATTGTCCATGATTTACACTAATTGTGAGCAGTCTTCTTATGTGTCAGCTCATTATTTTTGAAACATTTGCCTTTAGGCTGTTCTTTGAGGTATCAATGAAGTGATTGAATTTCAATACCTTAATTCAGTGCACATAATACTAATGTAACAGCAGATGAAAATTGATAAAACCCAAAAGAGAGTCATCTAAATTTGTAGTTCCTATTTCTGTGGGTTTGCCTGGCCATGGTTGGAGAGGGAATGGTGTTTGATGGTAAACACAGGGTGTTTGGGGATCAAGGAGCCTAGATTCTCTCCCTGGATCTGTCACTAACTTGCTGCGTGACCTGAACACGTCACTTTACCTCTCTGTGCCTCAGTTTTCCCATGCATGAAAAATAAAATAAAATAAAACGGGGATTCTAATGTTTGTAAGTGCTTTGAGATCTTTGACCAACAGGTGCTATTGGAGTGCAAAGTGTTACTCTTACGTGTTTATTTTGAGTCATGAGATAATCAATTTTAACCCAAAGTCATTGGATTATTTATATGAAGTCCATAATGTTCGAGTACCTCAGGGACATTTAAGAGTTGGAGGTGCAAATATATTCCAAAAGGGTGCAACAGACACAGTGTATCCCCCTGCTTCTGTTTTTGTATATTTTTGCTACTTGGTTTTTCTTGATCATAGCTATTTTGTGCTTGATCTTTATTGTCTAAGATGCAGTATCCTGTACTAGCTTATAATATTCCCATACCAAAGTCATGGGGAAACAAACATTATTTTGTTTTTGGTTTATTTATACTATATTCTGCATACAGTACTTTAAATGCCAATTACAGTGCAATCTTTATTTATTGTAAAATTTTTTAAGTGTACTTATGTACTAATTTTCCCTTGTAGCATGTTATATTTTTGTGTTTTATACTTTTGTAATTTTAGGTCAGTCTTGTTCCTTGGCAACATCTGTAGTATTATTAATCTTCTGACATTTTCTTATGTTTTTAAAAAGATAAGAGCATCTAGTGCATTAAATGCCAAAAAAAAAATACATTATCAGTGATTGAAACGTTTACATGTACCCAAAAACCATAATCATCTCTTGGAAGAAAATGCTGAGATCAATGAATTATTCTGTGTGCCTATATTGACGTAGTGAGTACTAGAGAGTTCTGTATTTTATTATTGACTATAATAATTAGTTTAATTAGCTTTGCAAACTGATGGCATCAAGGTAAATATATTTTTGCCAAAGTTCTGGCCTTCCAAAACTCACCCCCTTATTTAAATGTGTGCTATGACCCACTATGACCACAGCATCTGCATTTTCTAAAAAATTCCATGCAGGTGTTTTGGGGAGAGGTATTTTTTAAGCAATGAAAATTCAACTGAGTACAAAGCCCCCTCTTGGGGGGTTGGGGAAGTCTCTTTTTTGAAACACTTCAGAACTGCTGCTATAAAGAAATTCTCTAATTGGTTGAATTTTTTTTTTAAGTAAATAGTACTTTAGGCCAAAATTTATATGAATATTTGATCTTCTTGAGATTTTCATACTATCATTTAACCACCAGGAAGCTGAAGTGTGTGAAGTACAAAGCTGACAGCACTTTATTTTATTGCTCTCCATTATTTGGTATTCATTATATTCCTTCAGTCAGAAAATTATTACTCTCTATGGCACTGTTTTTTATCACAAATATGTATATGTGATATTGATATATAACTATATATATTGCCATCACACACGAACAATAAAATAAAGTGTTCTATTAACCTGATCTCTTTGCCCTTTTGCTATGTGAGGAGTGAATGAGTGGCCTTCTGATGCTCTGACTCTTCTCTGTATGTCAAACTCATCCCTGGCACAAGAAATTCCAGTCATGTGAAGCAAACTGCCCTTTGTCCTCAAAGAAATTGTTGAAAAAGAAAACTTTTTAAAGAGATTTTTTGCATATTCTCTGCCTTGTTCTTATCAACTTGAAATGTTGGCATTTTCTAACCTTGTTTTGTTGGCTACAATAATTCAGTATTCATGTCAAAATTGAGAAGTGCCCTAATTGAATGTGTTTGAATGTTATCCTTGCACAATTCTTTAAATTGAAAGATAAAATGTTTTACCTCACTGTTGGACATACATTCCAAGCTTTTCAACTCTAGGAGAAAAAGAAAATCATGTTTTCCTGTATTGTAAATTTTAGACTATTTCATATACATTGTATTAAAACTGCCATATCAATTTTAATGTATAGATTTTGCAAATATTATGCTATATGTAATACCTAACTGTATCTGTAGTGTATATGTAATATATTTATGCCCAATAAATGTTTTAATTCTTTCTGACTTAAATAGGGTTTTTCTGCCATGACTAGGATTGCTTTTGTTGTTGTTGTTGTTGTTTCTTTCTTTTTTTTTTTTTTTGAGACGGAGTCTTGCTCTGTCGCCAGGCTGGAGTGCAGTGGCGCGATCTCAGCTCACTGCAACCTCCAGCTCCCAGGTTCAAGTGATTCCCCTGCCTCAGCCTCCCAAGTAGCTGGGGATTACAGGCACTCGCCACCATGCCCGGATAATTTTTTTTTTTTTTTTGAGTTGGAGTCTTGCTCTGTCGCCCAGGCTGGAGTGCAGTGACCCAATCTCGGCTCACTGCAAGCTCCACCTCCCGGGTTCATGCCATTCTCCTGCCTCAGCCTCCCAAGTAGCTGGGACTACAGGTGCCCGCCACCACGCCCGGCTAATTTTTTTAATTTTAGTAGAGTCGGGGTTTCACCATGTTGGCCAAGATGGTCTCGATCTGACCTCGTGATCTGCCCGCCTCGGCCTCCCAAAGTGCTGGGATTACAGGTGTGAGCCCCCGCACCCAGCCTTATTCTTCCCTTTTAAATACTTAAAGCACATTCAGATTAGTTGAAAATTCACGTGTTTTTGGAGGCCAGGCAGGTGGCCTTCTGCAGAGACAGCAGCAGCTCAGCTCTTGCTGACCAAGGCCTTGGAGGACTGTGAGCCACAATCACATATGTCCATGTTTCAAAAGAAGCTAAATATCCAGATTTCCTCCATGGGCCAACTAAAAGGTGATTGTGGACTATACAGGCTGCCAGTTTAATCCTTTATCAGAGTCTCTGTGGATAATGTACCTTGTTGCCTAATACTTTATCTGTCTACCAAAACTCAGTCCAGATCTCCCTCTGTTCACCTGGCACACTGGGTGCTTCCTCTCCCCTGACGAACTCTATAGAGTGTTCATGTCCTTTCCTGCAGGTCTCATTCAACAACAACAACAACAACAGCAATAAAACACAGTGTTCCTGCTATGGCCATGGTTTTGTGATTTTAGATTGTCTTAGTAGGAATTCCCACTATCTCTTTTATTTTTCAGGAAAATGGGTAAAAAAAACTGTCACTTTATTGAACCTCACTTATATGAAGCATGGTAATTATTCTGGGTAAAGATGACAAATTGAGCACATCAAATTTTGAATGCTCCTGACACCACTAAAAGTAAAGGATTTTTTATTTTTTTAAGTCACAACTCAACCCTCAAGACTGGGAAGAAAGAGGAGTTATTGGCACCAGAATTTTGGAAATATGATCAACAAAACTTAATTCTAATTTGGCAGAGGAGAAAATGAGCATCAGTGTTTTTATTCTCAATGCAGGATACCCTAAAGGCTCAAAAATTGACAGCAACATATCCCTTTGAAGTGATAGTGAAGAGAGAGAGGAGGCTAAAATAGTATTGGTTGAAAGCTGTTTAAAATGCAGTTAGATCAATAAAATCCCTCCCCCTTTTTTTTTTCAGCTGGACAAAAATGTCCCTCCTCCCCACCCACCTCCATCACTCTTGCAGAAGCCTAGAGGTGTATCCTCAGGAGAAGGTTCAAATAGAAAGTCCCTGGACTGGGAGACACGATCCACAGTTGAGAATGAAGGCACCATATCAAAAGCAAATTAGTGAACATAGGCTTATGGAAGAACATTACAAAGAGCCTCATGGGCTGGGAACAACAAAAAAGAAATCTAAAAATCTAAAAATCTTCAATGAAATGGTTCAGCCAGAGCACTCTTGGGTAGTACTTTTCAACCTGTACATTAATATCACCTAGAGAGCTTTTCAAAATTCTCGTACCCTACACCAATAAAATGAGTATTGCAGAGGCATCAGTATTTTTTAACACTCCCCAGGCGCTTTCACTGTGTATATGAAATTGAGAACCATTGCTGAAAAGTGAAACTCTCAGTCAGCAATCCCCTATCAGCTTTTTAGTCTTTCATCTTAACCAAGGATAACCTGATATCTGATGAAAGTGTCTAACGTGGATGAAAAGCCCAAAACCAACAACTTGGAAGAATCAGAGACTACATGGAGAAGAAGCTTCAAAAACCTGTCATATCTCCAGAGAGATGAGAAAAGAAAAGGCATCTGTAGAATAAAGATAGACTACTATAGAAAAGGAACTGTTAACAAGAAAATGTTCTTGGAAATTAAACATTCGGTAGCATGGTTGGAAGCTGAAATTTAGCAAATAACCTGAAAATTTGAGGAAAAAAGAAAGGAAAAGATTAGGATCAGACCAGGACCATTCAATATCCAAGTAATAGGAACTCCAGAAAGAACAGAAAGTGGAAGAGAGGAAATCGTTAAACACATGAGTTTCTAGAATAATAGGGTATGGGAGCACACAACACAATGGATGAAAATAGGACTTGTACTAAGGCTCGCCATCTTGAAGTTTCAACACTAGAGAACCTCCCCAACATGAAAAGCTGGTCACATAGAAGGATTGGGAATCAAGCGTGGCGTTAGACATAAGCAGTTGCTTCAAGATTTTGAAAGAAATATAATAGATTTCTCGCCTGCCTACTCTCAGTCAAGTGTAAGCTACCACGAAGACATTTTTTAAACTGGAAACTCCCACAAGTTTGTCTCTCATGCACCTTTTCTCAGGAAGCTACTGGAGGATAAGCTTTCCCATATAAGTGAATGAATCAAAGAAACATCTATGAGATTCTGTTTCCAGTGCTTTTTATTTAGGTCAGAAGTTGGCTCTCTGACCCTATGCCACGAGAGGATTTATGCAACTATCACGTTCTTACCCTTTCCCCATCCCCAATTGACCTGAGTGCACACATACATTTCCCTAAACAGGAGGAGTGTAAAAATGAGCCTTTTAAACAAATCTCTCAGGGTATTTTGCCTTGAGCCAATTAAAATCAATAGTTAAATTTGTCTACAGATACCCTTTATTCAGGGTGACAACTGAAAAATAATTCCCACCTCCACTGCTAGACTAGTACCTCAAAAGCTGGGGGAAGGGAGTGTGTGCATGGGGCAGCAAGCCTCATTTTAACTTTGCAGCATCTAGCACATTTTCTGGCCCATATTAGAAGCTAAAAAAGATTTGTTGAATTGAACTCACCTAATTTGGTAACCAAAGTTGGCAGAACAGTGATGTGATCCATAGACTTGCTGCTTCAACCCATAATCTTTCCCCTCAAGTGTGTTATTTTCAGTGCAATACTTTCTTTTTTAATGAAGTAGTTGTCAATATTTTAAAATTTGGAAATTTTACATAAAATACTGGAATTCCAGATTCTACTGAAAGTTGGAAGACCTGGCAACTCTAGGTCTTGTTCTGACACGGAGGTTATCCATGGAGATGAATATTGGCTGCCTTTGCTGGTTGGGGCATTTTGTTCTGCTCTTGATCACATTTTTCACTAAATCTCTGGCATGGATATGGATGTTATCTTTTCTGATATCTCCATCAAAGGTGAGTAAACATGGACAGGACATCCACAATGATGGAATGAGGACCTCCATAAATCCACTTCTCCATAAAAACAACAAAAACACTAGCAAAAAAGTACCAGAATCAACTTTTCTAGAACTTTGGAAATTAACCGCAGGTTTGCATCCATCTGAACCTTGGTACGAACAGCTGGTTTTGTGGCATTTTAACTCAATCTGCTCCATCCTAGCTCTCTGAAGCTCCACCGTAGTCTTGGAATCAGCACCCCTGCAGCAAGGAGAGGGAGCATACTCAGTTTGGAGCTCCTCAAAACGTCTCCTCCCCAGAGCATTGTCACTGTTTATCGTACCTCACAGCTGCCTGGAAAAGGTGCCATTTGTAGGGTGTTATTTAAACTGACTGGCAGCTGCTCCATGGGAAAAGCCTAATACCCAGGGTACTTGTTGGAAAATAATCAGTGCAGTTGTTTAACCCAGTAGCTGCCTAGGCTGTAGTACCAGTTGAAGTAAATAAATAGGCTAAAAACTTGAAGATCGGGGGAATGAAATGTCCATAGGAGGCTTTTCAAAGTTTCTGACATGGTCGTGGGGATCTAGCAGACCATATGCATGTGCACGGCTGTGCCCGGACTCAGAAGATGGAGAACGCCCCCATCCTTCACTCCTGTCTGTTGTCAAGGTCTTGGCTTAACCAGAATTGTAAACTTCCTGAGCTTTAAAGGTGTACTTCAACATTCGGAGCCCTTGACAAAGAGTGGAAGATTTATTGGTTCCTGGTATTTAAGGAAATCTGCGAACAGTCATTAGAGGACCATTAAGCTGAACAGAGATTACAGTGGCCAGATGCAAAGGAAGAAGTCTGGAACAATACAATCCGAATTCATAACTCGGATTAACCCTAATAGGGAGTGGGGAAATGATGGTTAAAGAGTTGTTTGGTCTTAACTAATATTTTAGCCTTATAAATGAAAAATGGGCCCCAGATGTGGTGGCTCATGCCTGTAATCCCAGCACTTTGGGAGGCCGAGGCGGTTGGATCACTTGAGATCAGGAGTGCAAGACCAGCCTGGCCAACATGGTGAAACCCAGTCTGTACTAAAAATGCAAAAATTAGCCAGGCATGGTGGCAGGAGCTTCCAGCTACTCAGGAGGCTGAGGCAGGAGAATCACTTGAACCCAGGAGGCAGAGGTTGCAGTGAGCCGAGATCGTGCCACCGCACTCCAGCCTGGGCAACAGAGCAAGACTCAGTCTCAATAAAATAAATGAAAAATGAATTATTTGTGTAATAAAAATCCATTTTTGTGGCAAACAAAACCATATCAAAGAAATGAAATTTCTTCCCCCTTTTCTGAGTCAAAGGATAAATATAGTAAAAGATGGGTCTTAATTTTTTCTTAGGACTAAAGGTATGGATTTTTATTTTCTGTCCAATCAGTTATAAGAGAAATATGTTCAATTCAGATAAAATTTTTTGCATCTATGAGCCATTGAATGTCTCTGATTTTCTACTCTAACAGTGTTTCCCAAAGTAAGGTGGTTATACAAGACAATCCTAAGTGGCACATGTCTAACATCTTTCAAATTATGTAGTTTTTGTCATCTGTACCAAGGAGGTATACCAAAGAAAAACAGATCAGATTAAAGTGGATATTTAAGTTGATAAATATAATAAGTAACTCATAGTGCAAGGGCTACTCAGATATGGCAGAAATCAAAGGGACGATAAGCAAATGACCAAAGTTTGAGAATGATGCACCATGGAACACTGCCTCCTGAGATACAAGTGGATCTATGGAACAGAACACATTTGTATGCTAGCACCTGCACATACATTTTTTTTTTCTGCAGGTGAAGAGTTCTGTTGGAGGAGAGAGAGAGAAGAAAAACCTTGATCCACATAGAGCTGGAAATTGAACTGGACTAGAAAGTTTGTGCAGCTGATCCCCACCAGCCTCAATAACTGGCTTAGAATTTCCTGTTTTACTGTGCATTTTTCCCTGTTCAGTACTTCTGAATAGTCACATGAGTGAAAATTGGCATTTGGAAAGTAAAAGTTCTTTAGCACAAACCCTGAAGGTTGTATATACATCATTATTTTGCAGAGCCTGAGATAAGAAAATAGATGTTGATTTTAAACTAGGCCTGGGGGAGACAGCAAGGGTACAGTGGGCCTCTTGTTTTGTCTGACGGTCTTTCCTAGGAGCAGCGAGCCAGAGACACCCTCTTCCACCCCAACTTTATCCATTTGGTTCTCTAGAAGTTGTGTTCTCCCAAGACCCCTTGCACAGACTAAGGTGCATTATTCAAGAATTGGGTCCCTAGCCTGCACCTGGACCCATCCCTGGATGTGGGATTAAGACTCCAGTTGGTCTTGCTCCAGTGGCTGAAGCTGTAAGATGAAAAGCTTGAAAATTCGGGGCAGCTGGTTTTCTTGATGTAGAGAAAGCCAGTGTTCAGTGAGGGGAAGCAAGGAAGCTAGCAGGAAAAGAGAAAAGAAGAGGATTAAGGAATAATTTCTTATTAATAATCTAATCTATTCCTATTAGATTATTAGATACTAATTTAATCTATTAAGGAATAGATTCCTTACAAGGACCCTAGTTAAGGCCCAGTTCATCCTGTTTTTCAGTTTGCTGAGACCCATTTCCCTGTTTTCCTTATGATAAATTTCCCTTTATGTTTAAGTTAATTGGACTTGAGTTTCTAAGACCAAACCCCAAAATTTCCCACCTAGGACAGAAAGCATTTAACACCTGATTTCCTATTGCAAAGGAGGCTTATTTAAAGTAGGGTGTACTGTGTGCAAAAGGCACAGCCTCAAAGTTTTTTTTGTGCTGGGAATTTATTCAAATTTGGCCTCTGTGTTTTTGTTTTATTTTTCACCCTTCAAGCAATATAGACTGAATCTAGGAAAGCTTTAATTTTTAAAATTAAAACCAAAATAAAATTGTGCTGAATTAGAGCACTTATTTGTGAGCTCATGCTAAGCACTTGACATACATTATCTCATTTATGCCTCATATCAACAGTTTGAGGTGAGTATATCCATGCTCTTGAAGGATAAGTGCTTAAGTAACCTGGGCAAAGCATCTAAGTAAAGTGTTGATGGAAGATTCAACCCCAGCTCTCGTTAATTTCTGAGGCTGGTGTACCTTACCCCTATGCTGTGCTACCTGTCAAAAAGCCCTTCAGAATTTATTGTTATTGTATTTTAACTGATGTGAACAACAACGGTATCAGCATTAGACTTTATCTCCTAAGTATTGTGATGTTAAAATAAGCATCCTAAAATACAAATGGCTATGCAACATAACACGTTTGTAAATTAATCAAAGGTTTGTTGAATTGAACTCAACTAATTTGGTAACTAAAATTTGACAACAGTGGTGTGACCCAGAGACTTTTGCTGCTTCAACCCATAATCTTCCATTCAATATTGTACTGAAAGTTGTGGCTAAAGTAAAAGTTAAAATAAGGTTTAAGCACATATTAAAGGACCAGCAGCTATAGTCTGGAACTTCAGGCTTGAGTTTATCCTTTCACTGCCATTCTCACTCTTTCTGATTAAAGAAAAGGCACAAGTGTACTCATCTGAAAGTCAGATGTTTGAGGAAGGGACTATCATCTCTATAAAAAATGGACTGACTTTCGCAGAAGACAAGGAGTGATAAGTCTCAGTTCTGAGCCTTGGGTTCCTCCAGTGAAGGCAAATTGAACGACACCGTCTAACGTCTTTACGATTCTATGAAGACTAGACTCTAAGGTAGGTGGGCTTCAGTCCAAACTACAGTTCCTTGATAGAAATAATCAGAGGACAGCCTGCAAGATCCTCCACGTACATGCAGCCTCCACAATTCTTTGGTTGAAAAAATTAGCACCACGTGCTGTAAACATTGAAATCTGTATTGCAAAACTGCCATTCGGGAGAGTT
This sequence comes from Homo sapiens, assembly GCF_000001405.40. Taxonomy (NCBI): domain Eukaryota; kingdom Metazoa; phylum Chordata; class Mammalia; order Primates; family Hominidae; genus Homo; species Homo sapiens. The sequence continues at coordinate 172,408,036 of NC_000003.12, forward strand.
GTCCAGTCAACTCCAGTACCTCTGCTCAGGGAACACACCACACTTCTACAAAGCTGATTTCAGTGCTACCACAAAGGGGCTAGGAAATAAAAAATGCTACAGAAAAGAGTAAACATATGATACCAAGTAGGTAAAAGGAAAGGAAGTGCAGGAGTGGGTTCTGAAGACATGAATGTTGAAAGGCCAAAGGAGTTTGCTGAACTCTTGCTAGGTTTCCCCAGGAGAGCCCTGATCTCCAGGAAATAGACCTGTTTGCCCATGTGCCCACCCTTGCTGAGGCCCTCCACCTTGCAACAGTATCCAGCCCTTCAGAGCCAAGCCCTGAGATTTTCTTTCCGTCTGTCATCTAAGCAAATTTCTCACAAGTGCTTGTAAGTATATTTCTGGATTGCTTTATTCAGCTTGCTCATTGACAAGGGATTTGTAGTAATTTCTTACAGCAGCAGTAAAAAATGAATACAGATTTTAAAAATATAGAATATTTGTGTGACATTACATAGGATAGGTGAGGTGTTAAATAGAAATCTAAAAGCCTAAAGGGAAAAGAGTGACACATTTAACTTATTAAAAATAGAGAAAATAATTGTGAAACAACGTTGGCAAAGGGTTAATATTCCTCATATGCAAAAGCTCCTATACATTAATAAGAACAAAAACAAACTTTTTTTTTTCATTCTAAAAAATAGGCAAAGTAGCCAGGCATGGTGGCTCACACCTGTAATCTCAGCACGTTGGGAGGCTGAGGCAGGAGGATCACATGAGCCCAGGAGTTTGAGACCAGCTTAGGCAACACTGTGAGACCCAGTCTCTACCAAAAAAAAAAAAAAAAAAAGAAAAAAATAGCTGGGTGTGGTGGCTCACGCCTGTAGTCCCAGCTACTCAGGATGCTGAAGTGGGAGGATAAATTGAGCCTGGGATGTCAAGGCTACAATGAGCCATGATCGCTCCACTGCACTCCAGCCTGGGTGACAGAGTGAGATCCCATCTCAAAAACAAACAAACAAAAAAAAGCAAAGCAAGTAAATAGAAGAAATATTTGATAATTTGTTACAGCAGCAATGGAATAGGAATACAAATTTTTAAATACCAAAGCGGTTTACAGAAGAAATATAAATTACAAAAATCATAGAGAACAATGTTCAACCTTGGTACATGTTAGGAAAATTAAAATTCAACTAATGGGAAATATTTAGCCCTTAAGCAAAAAAAAAAAAGATCAATATCCTGGCCAGGTGTGGTGGCTCACGCCTGTAATCCCAGCACTTAGAAGGCCGAGGCAGGTGGATCACCTGAGGTCAGGAGTTTGAGACCAGCCTGACAGACATGCTGAAACCCTGTCTCTATTAAAAATACAAAAATTAGCCAGGTGTGGCGGTGAGCACCTGTAATCCCATCTACTCTGGAGGCTGAGGCAGGAGAATCACTTGAACTGGAGAGGTGGAGGTTGCAGTGAGCTGAGATTACACCACTGCACTCCAGCCTGGGCAACAAGAGCAAAACTCCATCTTAAATAAATAAATAAATAAATAATCAATATCACATTGGAAAAAGTATGGGGAAATCACCTATCTATCTCTCTAGGAAGATGTCAATTACTATAGCATTTTTGAAGGTAATCTGGAAATACTACATTTTAAAATGGAACATATACTTTAACCAAGCAATCTTAAAAGTCTAAAGAAAAAATGAATTCATATGTAAGGGTGTACATGCAAGGATATTTATTTCAGCACTGCTTATTAAAGAAAAACAATTTAAATATTTATTGATAGAGCAATGCATTCAAATTATTAACTATTTTAGATCTATTAAAAATGAATTCACATCATAAGAAAACAACAGATCTGAATCTAGGAAAGCTTTAATTTTTTAATTAAAACCAAAATAAATACAGATGCAAAAATCTTCGACAAAATACTGGCAAATAGAATCCAGCAACATATAAAAAGGATTAAAAACCATGACAAATAAATTTACCTCAGGAATGGAAGATTGGTTCAACATATAACTAACTAATGTAATTCCCCATATTTATAGAATAAAGGACAAAAACAATATAATCATCTCAACAGACATATAAAAAGCATTTGACAAAATCTAACAGTCTTTCATGATTATATATATATATATATATATATATACACACACACCAAACTAGGAATAGACAGGACCTTCCTCAACTTGATAAACAGCATCTATGAAAACCCACAACAAACATACTTAACAGCGAAAGACTGAACACTTACCCTGCTAAGATCAGGAACAAGTCAGGGAGGCTTACTCTTGCTACTTCTATTCAATATTGTTCTGAAAGTTGTAGCTAGAGTAACTTGGAAATAAAATTAAGTAAAAGCATCCTCATGCTTTAGAGAGCAGTCAGGAGCCCTGCTCCATGAGAAAACTTGTTCATAAAGGATCTTCGGGATGTTGATTTTCTGGCTGGAAACCTGTGTGACCAAAAGCGCCTTTGCCCAAGTTCTTGGCCAAGAAGAATGAGGTACGCAGACAAGTGAAGGGTGCACAGATGAGCTTTAAATGTTAGAACAGCTCAAAGGAGTCCTGCAGTGGGTAGGTCCTCTCTATGGGCAGGTCACCCTCAAGTGTTCAGCTCTCAGAAGAGAGGAGGTCCTGGAGAAGGTTACTCCTCTCTGCAGCTGATAGTCCCAACGTCTCTGCAGGTCTCTGAAGCTCTCAGCAGAGAGGGTAGCTCCTCTCTGCAGCTGGTTTTCCAGACCATAGTCTCTCCCTTCTCGCATTCTCTGCCCTCCTTTGGCTAAGCCTGGGGCTTTTATGGACCTCAGAAGGAAGGAAGTGCATGCTCATTGGTCCATGGGCAGCCATGAGTGGGCCTGGAAGAGGCGTCACAAATCCTCACTCAGGTCTCGGGACTGGCAGCCTGGCCCCTAGCCTTCAAGTCCTCCCTGGCCTGAAGGTGGGGCCTTACTGGGGATCTGCCTGCTTCTGCCCAGGAGCCTGTCTCCCTCCCTCAGCCGTCCATGGCACCCAGGCTGCTGGCACCAAAGGGCACCTGCAGGCCAGCACTCAGCTGCCCTCATCTTATCCCCCAGAGAGGGCTGAGCCAGCAAGGAGCTGGCAAGTCACCACTGCCCCAAGCATGCGCCCACCTGGTCGGGCTGTGACAGCCCCCAGGCTTGGCCCTAACCCCGCTCCAAGATTGTAGCAGGTACGGGAGCAGGAAGACATGAGGCAGCAGGAGCAGGCAACTCCGAGCCTGCAAGGGCAGGGGGGCCTTCCCAGGCCCCCCAAGCTGCAAGGATGCCTGCATCTGCAGCCACAGTTTGGTTGGCTGCAACTGCGCCTCGCCTGGGGAGCGGGACTCCTGCCAGCTCTCTAAAGCAGAAGGCCTGGATCCACAGCCACAGCTTGGGTGGCTGAAGCCCTGCCCAGGAGGGTGGGGCTCCTGTGCATGCCCAAGTCCCAAAAGCATGGGATGCCCAGGTTGCAAATGCCACTTAGGTGGCTGCAGTTGCACCTGGGAAGGTCCCGCCCCACCAACTTGGAAGGGGCAGGGCTCCTGCTTGTACCTGGCTCCCACCAGCTCCATGGAGCATGGCACACGGCTGTGCCCCCTTGCAGCCTGGGGGTTGGGGGTTGCTCTGGGTCCTCACTGGGCCTGGGTGGGCATCTGGGACAGGGGTGATGAGGCCAGGAGCTCCCCCTGTGGCTCCAGTGCTCAAGGGTGGCCTGGAGCTCCCCTTCACCAAGCCCACGGCCTGGTCCCATTGTGGTGGCCCCTAGGGTGGCGGGCTGCGGGAGGCGGGGGCAGGCTGTCTGCCACCTCCCCTTGGCCACACCAGATGGCCCACCACTGCCATCAAATGTTCATAGCAGCATTAGTCACAATGGCCAAATGTTCATCATGTGATGAATGAATAACCAAAATGTAATAGATCCATACAATGAAAGATTATTTGACCATAAAAAGGAACAAAGTACTGATACATGCAATAACATGGAAGAACCTTGAAAACATGCTAAGTAAAAATTCAGACACAAAAGTCCATATATTTTATAATTCCATTTATATGAAATGCCTAGAATGAGGTAATCTATACAGACAAAAAAGTTAGTAGTTGCCAGTAACGGGAGGAAAGACAATTCGAGAGTGACTGGTAATAGACACAGGGTTTCTATTTCGGATGATAAACATGTTCTGGAATTAGATAAGGTAGATGGTTGCACACCTCGTGAATATACTAAAAACTGCTGAGTTATAAACTTTAAAAGAGTAAATAAATTTCATGTTATGTCAATTATATCTCAATAAAAATGGGAAAATGAATTAAACCATCTTTACTCACCTGGAAATATATCCCTGACTTACTACAATATGAAAGAAATACCAGCACAGAAAAGTATGGAAGGATTATCAAGCCATTAATATTGATTACCTCAGTAAGATCAAGTACAAAAGGAAAGTAAGAAATAATGTTTTCTGACTGGGCATGGTGGCTCACGTGTGTAATGCCAAGAGTTTGGAAGACTGAGGTGAGAGGATTGCTTGAGCCCAGGAGTTTGAGACCAGCCAGGGCAACATGGCTCATAAGGTTAGGCTTCGTGTTCCCACTCAAATCTCATCTTGAATTGTGATCCCCAGGTGTTTAGGGAGAGACCTGGTGGGAAATGATTGAATTATTGGGATGGTTTCCCCCATGGTGTTCTTGTGTTAGCAAGTGAATTCTCACGAGATCTGATGGTTTTATAAATGGTGGTTTTTTCCTGCGCTGACACATCCTCTCTCTCTCACCTGCCACCATGTAAGACGTGTCTGCTTCCCCTTCTGCCATGATTGTAAGTTTCCTGAGGCTTCCCCAGGCATGTGGAACTGTGAGTCAATTAAACCTCTTCCCTTTATAAATTACCCAGTCTCGGGAAGTTCTTTATAGTAGTGTGAAAATGGACTAATACAATGGGAAAACGCATCTCTACAAAAATATTTTAAAAATTAGCATTGTGGCATGCACCTGTGGTCATAGCTACTTAGGAGGCTCAAGAGCAAAGATTGCCTGAGCCCTGGAGGTCAAGGCTACAGTGAGACATGATTGCACCACTGCACTCCAGCCTGGGTGGCAGAGTGAGACCCTGTCTCAAAAAAAAAAAAAGTTTTCTTATAGACTTCAATATTGCTCAGCTTGCTATGAACAGGCATTTAATGGTTTACAAGAACAAGTAAAAGCACACACACACACTATTAAAAAGTGAGTATAAAATCGTGGCATTTAGCAAGTTTGAAACATTAAGCAAATCACTTGGCTACTCCAGGCTTCAGTTTTCTTCTGCAAAAAAATGATTGGTTGGACTGGATGGCAACAAGGATGCTGAGAGAGACTTCAAACAACCCCAACTACCAGGGAGCGAATAAGAAACAGCTGGGAGAAAGGAGAAGCTAGGAGTGTATGTTTCGAAAAACTCTCCAGAGGATTGATTCTCTTTTAATATCCTGCTCCCCCCATCCCCTCTACCTATAATAATCCCTGATACGAACCCTTATGGTTTTAAAAAAAACTCTTCTAAATATTCTCTATGACTCCTTCACTTGAAAGTCGAAGCTCCTATAATAATGCGTTAGCCTTATTTTCTAACATCTGATGAAGCAGAAAGACAGTAGGTTTTGCAATCATCACAAGCGTCAAGATCCTGGCTTGACCACTGTGTTATTCAGCTATTATTGTATAACAAGCCACCTCAAAACTCAGTTGCTTAAGACAATCTGAGGGCCCCAGGAGTCCTTTGTAAGAATAGTTTCCAGAAAGACAAGGCAGGAGACGGATTACACAGTGAAAAATGAATAGTGATGAGGACTTGTAGTCAGTGGGGTCTGGAGTGAAGAAAAGAAGAGAACAGTAGCTGGTCAGAGAAACAAAGTTAAAGGAAGGATGTGCGTGGTTAGTTAGCTTTTATTTGTAAACGAGGAGAGACTTAGGTATTTGGTAGATCCAAGAGACAGTTCTAATCTAGAAGTAGCAATTGAAGATACAGGAGAAGGTATAATCAGTGTAACAATGTTCTGTAGAAGATGACATAAATGAGAACTGAAAGCACAACTAAAGGATTTAACCTTAGAAACTAGTAGAAATATGACTTCATTTGAGATAAAAGATGAGAAAAATACAATGAATGAATGTAAGGCTAAGTGTAGGAATGGAGAAGAGGGTCACGAGAAAACTCATGTTTGGAAGGGCCTCTGTTCTTTCAGAAAGAGAAGGAATGAATAGTCTTCAGAGAGTGAAAGGCCAGAAGGATGGAGGATGGTTTGGAACTGGAGGAGAGGAGGACAGGGTTTAGAACAGGAAAGATGCCTTAAGAAGTCTTTGTGGAGATGCCCATCAACAGTAAGCAGTTTCCATTAGCAAAGATGGGACACAAGGAGCAGTGTCAAGAAAATGAATAACAAAGACTTAATGAGGATTTCAATATCATCACAGTAGGTCAGACACCAAGGAGGAGAGAAGAATCTTCTAAAGAATATGCAACAGGGGAGTTAGAGGCACTTACAACTTGAGAATTACGAAGAAATGTGGCATGGCTTTGTATCCTAGGCCTATAAAATGGGAGCTAGAATAAGCAGCACAAGGCCTGGGACTCTGTGTTGATCACAAACATTTATTAAGCACTTGCTGGATTCCCCCACATGAAGCTAAGCCTCTGATAAGCATTATTTCATTTTGTTATCATAGTAATACTTTATAAGATATTGTTATTCTTGGCCAGGTGCGGTGGCTCACAGCTGTGATCTCAGCACTTTGGGAGGCCGAGGTGGGCAGATCATGAGGTCAGGAGATTGAGACCATCCTGGCTAACAAGGTGAAACCCCGTCTCTACTAAAAATACAAAAATTAGCCAGGTGTGGTAGTGGGCCCCTGTAGTCTGAGCTACTCGGGAGGCTGAGGCAGGAGAATGGCGTGAACCCAGGAGGCGGAGCTTGCAGTGAGCCAAGATTGCGCCACTGCACTCCAGCCTGGGCAGCAGAGCGAGACTCCATCTCAAAAAAAAAAAAAAAATTGTTATTCTCGTTTTACCAATAGGGAAACTGAGCTTTAAAGAGATTATTTTCTCAAGGTCACTGTGGCAGATATTTTCTGAAGATGACTGCAATCATTTCTCTCATCTTCTACTATGTGGCCGTACAAGTCCGTCTCAAAGAGTACAGTTTAATTCCCTATCCTTGAATCTGGATGGGGTTGTCTATGCGTTGACCAAGAGAATGTGACCAAAAATATCTTTATGTGGCTGCCAAGGCTTTGTCATAAAGTTCTGCGCATCTACCTGGTTCTGTTGGAACTCTACCTCTGGCAGAAGACCACCATGTAAGAATTTTGACAGTCCAAAGGCTGCCATGCCGGAACATCACCTGAACATGGCTGAGCTCCGAGCCAACAGCCAGCATCAACTGCCATCCATGTAAGTAAGCCAGCTTGGTCTCACATCTGGCTCAATCTAGTCAAGATTTCAGATGACTGAAGCCCAACCCGACATCTGGCTGTAACCACATGAGAGACTGCCCAGCTCAGCGCTTCCTGAAATACCCACAAAATCGTGAGCAGAATGAAATGATTGTTGCTTTACAACAAGTTTTGGGGTAATGTATTATGCAGCAATTGTAATCAAAATAGCCTCACAACATCACAGAACAACAGAGCAAGGATTCAAATGCAAGCTTGCCTGACTCTGGAGCCCATATTTCTCTTTGTAGATTATCGTTCACATTTCTCTTCTTAAATCTCCTGCGTCTAGCCCAGTTTTTACCTCGGAGCATACGCTGAACAAACATGTTACTTACTTCTTAGGTAGATGTCTTCTTCTCACCTCTCATTATTCTGTTCCCTAGAAAATTTACATGGCATAATGGATCATTGTCCAAAATTGGGAAAACATAGCATTGGTTATTAAAACTGTTATCATGTCATTGCCAAATAAATCTTCATACAATCAACCACTCACATCCTATTCTTTTATGTGTTGGCAAGTCAAAAAACCTTGAATTCCTGAGACTTTGAGGAAAATACTGTGTCTTTCTTATATAGATGTTAACCAGAAATTACTTGAGTCTTCATATTTCTTTCTTGGATTTTTTGCTAGGCATATTAAATTTAAGGAGACCGAAATCACAATAGACACTGAAAGCATGACCTCTTATGATTAGAAGAATCATAACTAGTGTTGAAAGGTTGAATTTGCACAGAACCCAGATTTTTCAAAAATTATTTTATGAGTACATGTGCAGGCTTGTTAATATTGTGTGATGCTGAGGTTTGGGGTATGAATAATCCTGCCACCCAGGTAGTGAGTATAGTACCCAACAGGTAATATTTCTTTTTCTCTTTCCTTTTTGTGGGTACATAATAGGTGTATATGTTTATGTAGTACATGAGGTATTTTGAGACAAGCATGCAATGCATAATAATCACACCAGAGTAAATGGAGTATCCATCACCTTAAGCATTTATCTTTTGTGTTACAAACAATCCAATTATACTCTTTTAGTTACTTTAAACTGTACAATTAAATTATCGACTATAGTCACCCTTTTGTGCTATGAAATACTGGTTCTTACTCTCTCTACGTTTTTGTACCCATTAGGCATCCCCACTTCCTCCCCCCGACCCCACAGTCCTTCCCAGCCTCCAGTATCAATTCTTCTACTATCTCCATGAGTTCATTGTTTTAATGTTTAGCTCCCACAAATAGGTGAGAACATATGAAGTTTATATTTCTGTTCCTAGCTTATTTCACATAACACAATGATCTCCAGTTCCAATCATGTTGTTGAAAATGACAAGATCTCTTTCTTTTTTTAGGCTGAATAATACTGTTTATATGTACTACATTTTATTTTCCATTCATCTGTTGATGGACACTTAGGTTGCTTCCAAATTTGGGCTATTGTGAGTAGTGCTGCAATAAACAAGGGAGTGCAGAGATCTCTTTGATATACTGATTTCCTTTCTTGTGAGTATACACCTAGCAGTGGGATTTCTAAATCATATGGTAGCTCTACTTTTAGTTTTTTGAGGAGTCTCCAAACTGTTTTCCCTGTTGGTTGTACTAATTTACATTCCCACTAACAGTGTATGAGGGTTCCCTTTTCTCCAGATCCTTGCCAGCATTTGTTATTGCTTGTTTTTTGGATAAAAGCCCTTTTAATTGGGGTGAGATAATATCTCATTGTAGTTTTGATTTGGATTTCTCTGATGATCAATAATGTTGAGCACATTTTCATATACCTGTTTGCCATTTGTATGTCTTCTTTTGAGAAATGTCTATTCAAATCTTTCTCCCATTTTTAATCAGATTATTAGAATTTTTTTTTCTTTTTTTTTTTTTTTAGATGGAGTCTCGCTCTGTCGCCCAGGCTGAAGTGCAGTGTCACGATCTCAGCTCACTGCAAGCTCCACCTCCCGCGTTCACGCCATTCTCTTGCCTCAGCCTCCTGAGTAGCTGGGACTACAGGCGCCTGCCACCACGCTCGGCTAATTTTTTGTATTTTTAGTAGAGACAGGGTTTCACCATGTTGGCCAGGATGGTCTTGATCTCCTGACCTCGTGATCTGCCCACCTCGGCCTCCCAAAGTGCTGGGATTACAGGCATGAGCCACCGCGCCTGGCCATTAGATTTTTTTTTCTAAGAGTTGTTTGAACTCCTTATATATTCTGGTTATTAATACTTTGTCAGATTAGTAGCTTGAAAACACTTCCTCCCATTCTATGGGTTGTCTCTTCACTTCGTTGATTGTTTCCATTGGTGGGCAGAAGCTTTTTAACTTGATATGATCCCATTTGTTCATTTTTGACATTGTCGTTGTTGCACATTGTTCATTGTTGCACAGGCAACAGCCTGTGCTTGTGGGGTCTTACTCAAGAAATCCTTACCTACTCTAAAGTCCTGGCAAGTTTCCCCAATGTTTTCTTTTAATAGTTTCGTAGTTTGAGGTCTTACATTCAAGTTGTTAATCCTCTTTGATTTGATGTTTTTATATGGTGAGAGATGGGGTCTAGTTTCATTCTTCTGCATATGGATATCCAGTTTTTCCAGCATCATATATTGAAGAGACTGTCTTTTCCCCAGTGTATGTTCTTGACAGCTTTATTAAAAATGAGTTCACTCCCGGGAGGCAGAGCTTGCAGTGAGCCGAGATCATGCCACTGCACTCCAGCCTGGGTGACAGAGTGAGACTCCGTCTCAAAAAAAAATGAGTTCACTCTAGGTGTGTGGATTTGTTTCTGGGTTCTCTGTTCTATTCCATTGGTCTATGTGTCTGTTTTTGTGCCAGTACCATGCTGTTTTGGTTACTATAGCTCTATCTGTAGTATAAAGTCAGGTAACATGACTTCTCCAGCTTGTTCTTTTGCTCAGGATAGTTTGGCTATTCTGGGTCTTTTGTGATTCTATATAAATTTTAGGATTGTTTTATTTGTGTCTGTGTTGAATGTAATTGGTATTTTGATAGGGATTGCATTGAATCTGTACACTGCTTTGGGTAGTATGAACATTTTAATAATATTGATTCTTCCAATCCATGAACATGGACTATCTTTCCATTTTTTGGTGTCCCTTCAATTTCTTTCATCAGTGTTTTATAGTTTTCATTGTAGAGAACTTTTACTTCTTTGCTTCAGTTAATTCCTAGGTATTTTATTTTATTTTGTAACTATTGTAAGTGAGATTACTTTATTGATTTGTTTTTCAGATTTTTTGCTGTTTATATAAATGCTACTGATTTTTGTAAGTTGATCTTGTATCCTGCAACTTCACTGAATTTGTTTAATCAGATCTAATAATTTTTTGGGGAAGTCTTTAGGTTTTTCCAAATATAAGATCATTTCATCTGCAAGCAAGGATAATTTGACATTTTCCTTTCCAATTTCGAAACACTTTATATCTTTTTCTTGTCTGGTTGCTGTAGTGAGGACTTCCACTACTATGTTGAATAACACTGGCAAAAGTGGGCATCCTTGTTGTGTTCCAGATATAAGAGGAAAGGCTTTCAGTTCTTCCCCATTCAGTATGATACTAGCTGTAGATCTGTCATATATGGCTTTTATTATGTTAAGGTATATTCCTTCTATACCCAGTTTTTTTGAGGGTTTTTACCATGAAGGGATGTCAAATTTTATCAAATGCTTTTTCAGCATCAATTGAAATAATCATATGATGTTTGTCCTTCATTCTTTTATATGATGTACCACATTTATTGATTTGCATATGTTGAACCATCGTTGCATCTCTGGAATAAATCCCTGGAATGCATCCCTGGAATAAATAAGTTCATGATGAATGAACTTTTTAATGTGTTGTTGAATTCCGTTTGCTAGTATTTTTTTGAGGGTTTTTGCATCAATGATTATCAGGGATATTGGCCTGTAGTTTTATTTTTATGATGTGTATTTGGGTGGTTTTGATATCAGGGTATTACTGGCCTCATAGAATGCCAATAGGTAGTTTTTCAACACTTATCCCTCTCTCTCTCTCTCCCCACTCTAGTAATCCTTAGTATCTGTTTTCTCACCTTTGTGTCCATGTGTACTTAAGGAGTTTAGCTCCCACTTATGAGTGAGAACATGCAGCACTTGGTTTTCTGTTCCTGCACTAATTCACTTAGGATAATGGCCTCCACCTACATCCATGTTGCTGCAAAGGCCAGAATTCATTCCTTTTTATGGCTGCATAGAATTCCAGGGTATATATGTACCAAATTTGCTTTATCCAGTCCACTACTGATGGGTATCTATGTTGATTTGATGTCTTTGATATTGTGAATAGTGCTGTGAGGAACACATGCATACATGTGACTTTTTGGTAGAATAAATTATATTCCTTTGGGAATATACCCAGTAATGGGATTGCTTGGTTGAATGGCAGTTCTAAGTTCTTTGAAAAAACACAAATTGCTTTCCACAGAACATAGATCTTACATTTTTTCCTCCCAGTGCTTTCCTCTCAGTATTATCACCTCTTTTAACAATACAACACCTTTTGGATGCTCTATCCATCTTGAAAACACCTGTATCAGCAGACAGCAGAATATGCTAGGAATCATGAAGCAAATTAAATGTCAAGCAGAAATGAGTCAATGTGCCCTGTGTTTCATTAACACCACCCAGTGAAGTTACAAATTCTGCCTGAATTGAAATGTAAGCCACATCAAGATCAGAGGGCCTGTGCTTGGATCTGTTTTCCTCCTGAGTTATGAAAGGCTGAGTTGTTACTATTGAACTAAAAAAACAAGGCTATCCTTGAGCCACCAGTGTCATTTTCAATCTTATCTGGCCAGTACCTTCTCTGTTTCTTCTGTTGCTCCCTTGTTACTAGTGTCCAAAGTGGGTAGCCTGTTTTTGTACTGAAAGAGAGCAGGATCTTCATGCTCAAACACTCTACTCACTTCATTACTATTTCATTACTGAATGTCTTTTCTAATATTCCTAAACTATACCCCTAATCTTGACATGAGCGATTAGTACAATTTTTATAAAAATTGTCTTCCACAAGATCATCCACGGGTGGGTGATGCCTAAAGATGATGATGCATTTTCTTTCATGCACTAATTACTGCAAAAAAAAGCAGGAGCCCATGTGAGTCACCTGAGACCAGGGTGATGATTTTACAGTCAGCAGCAGCATCCAACTTCCCCTCACCTCATTTCCAAATCCTACTGTTTTTTTTTCCCTTCTCCTCCAATTTGTTCTCTACTTTTCTGTGCCTGCAAGGTAACAGTAGATTTTAAAATGGGCTGTTAGAGTAGTGAGATATTATTGTGAAACAGCAAACATACATTATTTGATAATCATAAGCAGAAGAGGTCTTGGGGAACAGTCATATGATTACAAGCCTTATATTTCACAAGCTGAAGATTTGAGGACAGAATATCACAAACAATGTGAGTTCTGGAGGTTAGTTCTGATTTATCTATTTTGCTTATGTCAAGGTTAGTCTTTATGTGCTTCCAGTTCTCCAAAGGCGTCCATGGCTCCTGGATACCAGATTTCCTATTTTATTTCCTAAATTTTAGGTTTGAGGTGAATGGCATAGTGGCTAAGAGCAAGCACCTGGAAGCCTACTGAGGATTTGTGCCCTCTCTTTTTATCCTAATCGGTATGACTAGAAACTTTTCAACTTTTTGGATTTCCTCAAGGAATTATAGTTTCACTGAGTTTCTCTGTTTTTTTAAATTGTTGTTTAATTCCTGTTTTGATCTTTACTATTTCATTTATTCCACTGACTTTAAGTTTAATTTGCCCTTTTCTCTAGTTTCTTAGGTCGAAGCTGAGATCATAATTTAGACCTTTCTTTGGTCAAGTATAGGTATTTTAGGCTATACATCTTCCTCTATATACTGCTTCAGTGGCATCCCACAAATTTTGAAATGTGCTTACCTTGTTTTTTAGTTTGAAATGCTTTGTAATTTCTCTTTGAATTTCTTCTTTGATCTATGGGTTATTTGGATGTACCTTATCTAATTTCCAAATATATTGGGATTTTCCACAGATTTTTCTGTTATTGATTTCTAATTCAATTCTGTTGTGTTTAGAGAACCTGCTCTAAGGGGAAGACAGCAAAGCATTAATTGAAGGAGATAAATTTCTTCCTTTCCTTTTCAAAACAATGTGTTTAAGGCAGAAAAAAACCTTGACTAAGAGTCAGAAGCTCTGCTATCTAGTCTCAGCTCCTCCACAATCAGCTCAGTGGCCTTTCACATTTTCCTTCAAAATTTTTCAGTCTGAAATGCCCTTTCATTCATCAGTAGACAGTCATATGGCTTGAACACTCAGTTCCTTCAGGTCTGCACTTTGAAAGAAAATAAAACAAGATAAGGGGAAAAGGAAGGCACTATATTACAGAGGCTGCTTACAGAAGGCTTCTCTCTTTTTGAAATTGGATAGTGACAATTTATAATTGTATGTATTTATGGGGTACAAAATGATATATGTATACCATGTGGAATTACTGACTCAAACTCATTGAAATATCTATCAATCACCTCAAATATTTATCACTTACTCCTCAGGTCTAACTGAACATTGTGTTTTTTGACCAACATATGCCATTCCTCCCACTCCCCAGACTCAAGTAAGCACCATTCTGTACTCAACTTCTATGTATTCAATTTTTTAGCTTCCACACGTAAGTGAGATCATGCAGTATATCCTTTTTGTGCCTGGCTCATTTCATTTAGCACAATGTACTGCAGGTTCATACATGTTGTCACAAAGGACGTAATTTCCCCTTTTCAAGACTGAGTAATATTCCATCATGTGTTTATAACACATTTTTAAAATCCATTCATCTGTTGATGGATACTTAATTTGATTCCATAACTGGGCTATTGTGAATAATGCTGCAATAAACATGGAAGTGCAGATATTTCTTTAACATGCTGATTTCAAATCCTTGGCTATATACCCAGAAGTGGGATTGCTGGATCATATGACAATTCTATTTGTAGTTTTTGAGAAACTCCATACTGTTTTCCATAGTAGCAGTGGTAATTTACATTTCCACCAACAGGGTGCAAGGGTTCCTTTTTCTGCACATTCTTGCCAACACTTGTTAAATTTCATCTTTTTGTTAATAGCCATTCTGACATGTATGAGATAATATCTCATTGTGGTTTTAATTTGCATTTCTTTAATGATTAGGGATGTTGAGCATTTTTAATGTATCTGTTGACCACTTGTATATCTTCTTTTGAGAAATGTCTATTCATGTCCTTTGACCATTCTTAAATTGGGTTGTTTTATTGCTATTGGGTTACTTGAGTTCCTTATATATTTGGGATATTAACCCTTTGCCAGATGTATGGTGATATGGTTTGACTGTGTCCCCACCCAAATCTCATCTTTAATTGTAGTTCCCATAATCCCCACGTGTTGTGGGAGGGACTCAATGGGAGTTAATTAAATCACAGGGGGCAGTTACCCCCATGCTGTTCTCATGATAGTGAGTTCTCATAAGATCTGACAGTTTTATAAAGGAATTTTCCCCCTTTGCTTGGCACTTCTCCTTCCTGCTACTATGTGAAGGACATGTTTGCTTCCCCTTCTGTCATGATTGTAAGTTTCCTGAGGCATCCCCAGCCCTACAAACCTGTGAGTCAATTAAACCTCTTTCCTTTATAAACTACCCAGTCTTGAGTATTTCTTTATAGCAGTGTGAGAATGGACTAATACATATGGCTTGCAAATATTTTCTACCATTCCATAAGTTGTCTTTTCAGTCTGATAATTGTTTCTTTGCTGTGCAGAAGACTTTTCATTTGATGTAATCATATTTGTCTTTTGTTGTTGTTGTTGTTGTCTGAGCATTTGGTATCAAATCTAAAAAATTATTGCCTAGACCAATGTCATACGGTTTTAGCAAAGGTTTTTCTTATATTTGAGCAAATAGTTGAAGCAAATGAGGGTTCAAGTTATATGAATATCTCTTAATGAATGAAAGAGAATTTCAGGCTGAAAAATAGAGAAGGAAAGAAAATAACATGAAGGCCTATCAGAGAGGGTTAAGTAAATTATAGCCTATACATTTAAGAGAAAACTATGCAGACATTAAGAAGGTTGATCTATATTAATACTCAATAGCATAGAAAGATTTCTTTAATAATTTCTTGAGTTGAAAACAAGCAAGTGTATAATTTTATTCTATTTATATAAAAGTGTGTGTGTGTGTGTGTGTGTGCGTGCGTGCATGCCTGCATGTTTGTGTGTGTGGAGGCAATGTATACATAGAGAAATATCTAGAAAGATGGTTATAAAATGTTCATAATGGTGATCTATTAGACATACACAAAAATAAAGATGATTGAATAATATTTATAGCCTGTCTGTCTCACCAAAACATAAACTCTATGAAAACAGGAACTTAGCTTTGTTCACTACTTCATTCCTACTATCTAGATACATAATGAATGAATCAGCAAAGGAAAGAAGAAAATACAGGGCCTATACATGGACCAAATAATAGCTCAGATTACTGGAGTTCAAAGGCATGCAGGGGAGCAAAGGAGATAACAGTAGATACCTGAGCAGATCTGATTGGGCAGAGCTTTGAATCCCAGCATAAACCTGGACTTCATGCTTCAGGAAATGGGTAGATATTGCTCACTGAGATGAGGAGGTGGAGGATGGATTTTCTTTCTTTTTTTTTTAAGTGTAAGTATGGACTTTATTTTTTTTAAAAAAAGTATTTTGAGAACTACAAATTATGAAGTAAAATCAGATCACTATGTAGAAATCTAGTGAATACATTTGCCTGTGAATGAAAACTTTATCAAAGTTATTCCTTTAACAAATTCAACCCATTCACAATATTAAGTTATAGTATTCTTTTTAAGGTTACTATACCTTTATTTCAAATTATATGACATGTTATTCCTTCAAAATGAACTTTTAAATGACAAACTTTTGGCTCATAAGAATGGCACCTTCAAAAGGGGCGATTTCCACTCAGTCTCTGGTGGCATTATCCCAGGCTAGTTTCTTTCACCAGTTAAAAACCTTCAAAATGTTCACTTTTAACACAAAGTCTTTCTATAAAAAGTGTGGCTACATTTCCCCCCTCCCCCCACCACCAATGACTACATACACAGATGGGTAGCAGCAAGAAAAGCTGAAAATAAAAAGGCAACCATGAAAATAAATGGATCAATTGTATACAAGAAATATTTGGCTCATGGCAATTAAAAATGGCAACTAGGGTATGTTAATAGCCAAAGGCTTCAGTCATTACAGAATATGTTAAGAGAATGAAGCCAGTCCAGTATGACCAAGTAGGAATATATAATTGTCATTGCACTTCATTTGTTATAGCAAATGCTCTAAGCCAATAGGAAATCTAAGCTATATCTAGATTCTCAATTAGAACAAGCTGACCTTTAACATTGTCAACAATTTTTACTGGGTTTAGTACATCAGTCATTTTCTTTACTCAAACTCCTTTATGAGTCTTTTCCTATCAATCTAAGGGTATTCTGTGCATAAAATACCTTAAATGATAAGACTTTTCTAAGGTTCATTTGAAAATGGTTGTATAAAAAAAATACCCATTTGTTTTGCCTGGAAAGATACAAACTAAATGCAGAAGTTTCTCAAGGGGAAAATCTCATCTTTCTTCTTCCCGCCACCTCTGCCACATTTTGATTTCCTAAACTTTTCAAGTCTGTTCTCCATGGCTTCTCTAAGGATAAAACCCAGAGAGCAAACAATTGAGCTTTAGGACAACTGGAGTTAAAACAAACAAACAAACAAAAAAAGTTAATGGCAAGCAATGGTCCACATACTCAAGATTCATGTTAAACGAATTCAATTATTACATATGGGTTTTTCATTGATGAGTAGGGCCCTGGGCATGCCATATTATCACGCAAATCATTGCCTTTGAGACTTTGGACACTTTTACAGTTTAATTTGCAAACAGAATTTTTATAATAAATTATTTTTTAACTAAATCATATCTTGAAAACTGTTTATAGAAAACCCAGGGAATAAAGTGAACTGTTCATTGTGGAAGGTCTTAAATTATTACAGTAGAAAATACAGGCGGTAGAAGATAACTGAAAAGACTAATGCAACATTAGATTCAAATCTATATCTCCTGTAGCTACTTAAAACATGGTTTTAGAAACTAAACCCAACATTTCCAGCAACCATAGAAACAGTTAAAATAAAATTTGCCATGAAAGCCCTTATATCATGCTTGATACAGGGAGGTAGGAAGATGTAAGAACCAGGACACATGAGACAGGACATTTTATCTACAACTCCTGTTTGCTTTACTGAGGGTGTAGTTTCAAAATTCAGTCACCTTCTTCAGCTTCAGATTCAGATTCTTCTTCAGCATTTTTGAGCCACTCTCCAAACTTTTTCATTTGCTCAAGGAAAACACTCTTCCCCTTTGCAACATGTGTACCTTTATACCACTTCAAAATGGGCTCTTTGCTCAGGACTACAGCTTTATAAAAAGCACCACTATTTTCCGGAAGGCTTTCATGAAATGAATGTTGTCATAGCAATACTCCTGAATCTTCAGTAACAGGGTCAGCTCAGACTGACTTTGAGTAGTAAAGGCAGCAAGTAGAGGGCTGTGTTGCTTCAAGTGTTTGATGGCTTGCTCTGCTACAATCTCCTCTCTTTTGTTCCATTCCACAGCGCTCATTACATTTGACCAGACTATTTCGATGACAACTGGTTCTGGGATGTTGTTTTTTTTCATCTCCTCCTTGACATATAAAATTATAACCTTAAATGGATCCCCACGGGACATCTGTTCTTGAAGTTCTTTCTGCAGCTCCTTACAAGCTCTGATGGTTTGCTGATTCCGAACATATTCTGAAAGCTCTTTCAGGCCTGCCTCAGTAAAATACTTCGTGAAGTGTTGAACGCTTTGCTTATTGGCAGGAAAAAGTTCCATCAGGCTGTTATCCATGCTGACTTTCCTTGCAGTTACTGCATTGATATCTTTTTCATTTATACATGATTTAAATAGCTTTCCAGCAAAAGCTGTTGAAACCCCTTCTTTAACCAAATTCTCATTATAAAGGCTATTAAGAATGGATGCCATTAGCCAGAAGAACACCAGTCAACATAGCCAGTTTTTTCCTCTCCGAGTCTGAAAAACCCTTTCAGAACACCAGCAGCCTTTTTACTTCATCTTCACAACATTTCTCAAGGTATTTGTAGTGCCTGATTAACTTGTTAAAAACCTGAGCAAATGCTTGCATGGTCTCTAGGTCTTCTTGGGCTGCAAACACGCAGACATCTGTACGCATGATGTCATCTGCCAGTGTACCACCTGGGGCCAGCATTCCACCACCCACCAGAATGTCAAAGAGTGTTTCTGCACATCGACGGTAATCAAGTTTTGTTCCAGAAAAGCATCAAGAAACTTAGCTACTGCTTCCAAATCAGTACCAGTTTCAGTTCAGCCTTGAATAACGTAGTCCTGAAACTGAGTAGGGTCAAACCTCTCTTTTTCATCTCTTTTTCTGGTTTTAAAATACTGGGCCTGATAGCGTTGGCTTTTGCTGCTTTTGATTACTCATAAAAGACACCCGAATTTAAGGTGATGAGGAAAGAGCCAGAAATCCCCAATGTAGTGGCAACTGCCATGGTGTCTCCTCTGCAACCAGAACTGAGGATGGATTTTCACACCACCGTCTAGCCTGATGGATGCTCTTAACCATCTCTCACTACAAAACAAACTCCGTGAATAAACAAGGCATTCAGACATCTTTCAGGCTCATGATAGAGAGTTTTAAACCAGTTAAGGCTTTAGGGCTTAACATTCGCTTGCTGGTTGATGAAGGCCCAGAAAACAAAGTGAAAATGCTTCCATTTCCCCATTTCAATCTGTGCGCCACCATCTGCCGTGCTGATTCCCATGATGGCTGCCATGGTGAAGATAGAAAAGGAATGGCCCAGGAACCAGAGTCTCATTGATGCCAACACAAGATAGACTCACAGCCCTGAGGTCAAGAAATCTTTCTTTCTGATACTTTGTCTTAAGCAGTGCCGGGACTTTTCACTTTTTATACTAGGGCCTTGTGTAG
The DNA here is from genome assembly GCF_000001405.40 of Homo sapiens. Classification (NCBI taxonomy): domain Eukaryota; kingdom Metazoa; phylum Chordata; class Mammalia; order Primates; family Hominidae; genus Homo; species Homo sapiens. The sequence continues at coordinate 172,427,595 of NC_000003.12, forward strand.
GCAAGCACAGGCGACTGAATTGGTTCCATGGACCAACCCTTTGATCATACCATATGTGGAAACAATACTGCACTATTTGTCTTTTCTCCCTTTGAGAAGTCCTTAATTATTATTGAAGGGATGTTTCCTATTATTCATCCTGTCTCCTTCAACGCAACCCCACCAGCAGACAGACTGGTCTTCCTTAAATGCAAATGCTACCCCTTCACTCACTCTCCCACTACAACCCTTCGTTGGCTGTACATTGCTTTTAGGATACTCATGTTGTCTGTCCCTGGCATAGCCTCCAAGGCCCTATCTCCAGAACAGTGTCCACCTTAGGCCACCCTCTCTCTTGCCCTCTAGGCTCCAGCACTCTGACATTCCTTCAGCTCCTCAAACATGTCATGTTCCTTCCTAACTCAGACCTTTCCCACGCTGTTCTTTATGCCTGGAATCGTACTCCTCCCTTCAGCAATCCGGTCAGCTGCCACTTATCCTTTAAATTATGGTATAAATGTCACTACCCCAGGGGTGCCCTCCTCAGTGTCATGCCCCAGACCAGCCTGGGTAAATGTAAAAGAGGCTCCCACAGCATCTACCTAGAGCTTCTCTACCATAGCACATAACTCACCTACAGTTAAATAATTATTGGGCAATTATTTGTTCAACATGAGTTTTCCCCATTGGACAAATCAACTTGGTCCCAGCATAGTGCTGCCATGTGTGATCTTTTTAAACCTTTTTTTTTTCAGTGCTATTCTCATTGTACAATGTCAGTAAGTTAATAATGAGTGGAGTGAGAGAAAGTGGATACTGTATATTTCAACCAGTTTGGCTGTAAAGGGGAGGAGAGAGATAGGATAGGAGCTGGAGGGCACTGTGGAAGTGTCTTAACCAGCTCAGGCTGCCATCACAAAATACCACAGACTGTGTGGCTTAAACAAGTGATACGCATTTCTCACAGTTCTGGAGGCTGGAAGTCCCAGCTCCAGGTGCCAGCATGGTTGGCGTCTGGTGAGTGCTCTCTTTCTGGCTTGCAGACAGCTGCCTTCCCACTTTGTCCTCATTTGGTGGAGGGTGGGTGAGTTCTGGTCTCTTCCTCTTCTTTTAAGGACAGCAATCCCGTTATGAGGACCCCACTCTCATGACTTCATCTAAACCTAGTTACCTGCCAAAGGTCCCATCTCCGAATATCATCATATTAGGGTTTAGGTTTCAACATATGAATTTAGCAGAGGGATGTCAAAATTCAATCCATAGAAGGGATTAAGCAAAGTCTTTTTATGACAGGAAATCTTGAACAGGCTTAAACACTGATGGTAGATGCCAGCAGAGAGGGGAAGGATGAAGCTTCAGGGGAGACGGGATAATCATAGGAGGTGGGAGGAGAAAAGAAGCAGTGCATTGATGGAGAGGATGTCTTTGGGAGGACAGACACTGCTCCTGCTGTGACATGAGCAGAGGAGCAAAGGGCGTGTGCGACTCCAGAGGACCTTTTCCATGTGGTGACAATGAGGCAAGAGAATTCTCAATGAGCAGCTTCTTATTCCCTATTCGAAGTAACATGTATGGATATCTGATGAGGGACTGGTGTGGCTTGTGGAAAATGGAGAAGGTTTGGAATAGATTCTGTGAAGAGTAAGAAACAGAGCTGCTGTGATACGAATGTTTGTGCCCACCCCCATTTATGTGTTAAAGTCCTAACCCCCAAGTAGAAGGTATTAGGAGATGGAGCCTTTGGGAGGTCATTAAGCCTTGAGGGCAAAGTCCTCATGATTGGGATTAGTGTCCTCCTAAAAGAACCCAGGGAGTTAGCTTGTCTCTTCCACCATGTGAGAACACAGCAAGAAGGCACCACCTATGAGCCAAAAAGCAAGCCCTCACCAGACATTAAATTGGCCTTGATCTTGGACTTTCCAGTCTCCAGAACTGTGAGAAATTCTGTGTGGAGGGAGTAACAGCTGAGAGCCCTGGAATGACAGAAGATTGTGGTCACAGTATGGGATGTTTAAGTGCAAGATTTCAGAGGAGGAGAAGTTCCTGGTGACAATGGATCAGTGTAAAACCTTAGGCATGCGTGGCTGAACTGGAGAAGGGGTAAAGAGCCTGGAAATTGAGAAGACCAATACTGCAGACCCTTCCTTTCAAGTCAAGGGTCCAGTGCTTAGAGTGAGCCCAGCTGGAAAGCAGTCTTCCTTACGAAACTGCATCTTAACAAGGTTTATTTCCTTCAGGAGGGTTGCCTGTGCCACAGCACTGGTTCCCCATGTAGATGTTACAGGTTCCAAGGGAAATGGTTAGTCTCTCCCTCTCCTCTCTTTTTACCTATCAGTGCTACACATCTTGAAGCTCTTTTGGAGCTACAGATATAGAAAAGATAGAGGAAGCAAGACACTAATAAAGAAGGGTCACACAGCCATTGAAAACACAGAATTCAGGTGACATTGACATTTATCTGATATCCAATTCTTGCTCTTGGCTCCCAAGACTGAATGGAAATCTTTGCCTTATAACAACAGTGTTGTGGAAGACCTTTGGGAAAATCTTCCTTTAGGGCCTCCCCCTAACAACACTGCTACATGAAATCAAAACAAAGAAATATCTTTATATTGATATTCTGAATTTTTAAAAATAATATAAATAAGAAAATTATTCTCGGCATGTATTTACGTACTTTAATCATTTATGTGGCCATATCTATCTGCAATACTGTATCACTGGTATTTCTATGATGAATGCTTTTTTGATACACTTTAATCTTCATTTTTAGTAAAATTACTTGCAACCATTTTCTATATTTACAGTTAATAAATTTGAAATTCTTAACACTTTTTATTACTCTTTCTAGTAGGCTCAGAACAAATGCTGAGAAAAGGAGGATATTATTTTCTGTTTTGTAATATTGAAATGTTTAACTTCAGCTCAAATATTTTTAGAGATTCTGTCACTTTGTCGCTTTTTAGAGACTTTTATTTAACAAATATTTTTATAAGACAAAACTTGTCAAATAAGTTATCTATGATTCTTTTGAATATTTTACCACATTTAGATCTTAGAAAATAATAGGCCTTCGGCTGAGCATGGTGGCTCACACCTGTAATCCCAACACTTTGGGAGGCTGAGGAGGGAGGATCACAAGGTCAGGAGATCGAGACCATCCTGGCTAACATGGTGAAATCCCGTCCCTACTAAAAGTGCAAAAACAAAATCAGCCAGGTGTGGTGGTGGGCACCTGTAGTCCAAGCTACTTAGAAGGCTGAGGCAGGAGAATGGCATGAGCCCGGGAGGTGGAGCTTGCAGTGAGCCGAGATCACGCCACTACACTCCAGCCTGGGCTACAGAGCGAGACTCCATTAAAAAAAAAAAAAAAAAAAAAAAAGCCTTCTCAGCTTTATTCCACCAAAAATTTCAACCCAATTTTCAGATATCTTAAATACCAATTATAGAATTTCAAAATTGAATCAGTGTAGATTTTGAGTCTTCAAATGTAATTCATTCAGTTTCTCCTTGTTTGTACAGATGTATTTTTAATGTTTTCCTGTTGCAAGCTTTGTTTTTCATAAGTTTGTACATTTCTAAGAGCTTCAAATACTAAAAGTTTTGGGTTTTAAGGGTTTTATGGTACTCCATTTGTTGACTGCTCTGATAAAAGATTTCAACTGCTTTTTTTTTTTTCTTTTTCTTTTTTGAGACGGAGTCTCACTCTGTTGCCCAGGCTGGAGTGCAGTGAAGTGATCTCAGCTCACTGCAAGCTCCGCCTCCTGGGTTCATGCCATTCTCCTGCCTCAGCCTCCCAAGTAGCTGGAACTACAGGCGCCTGCCACCATGCCCAGCTAATTTTGTTTTTGTATTTTTCATAGAGATGGGGTATCACCATGTTAGCCAGGATGGTCTTGATCTCCTGGCCTCATGATCCCCCTGCCTCAGCCTCCCAAAGTGCTGGGATTACAGGTGTGAGCCACCATGCCCAGCCTCAACTGCTTTTAAGAAAAAGACAATAACATTAGAAAACTCACTTACAATCCCATTTTAGGACACTAAGAAATTACAAAGTACTTATTTTAATAAACAAGCATTTTTGAAATCTGATTAGTGATGAGTAGCAAAAAGAAAGTGAGTACTACCATTCTGAAACATTTTATTTTTTGTTTCATTACTCTGTGCTTGTGTATGTCTTGGTACATTTTCTGTTGCCATAAGTGAATACTTGAGGCTGGAGAATTTATAAAGAAAGAAATCTGTCTAGCTATGGTATACAGTCTGGGAAGTTCGAGGGCATAGCCCTGGCTTCTGGTGAGGGTTTTCATTGCTGCATCATAACATGATGACGAAGGCCAAAGAGGAAGCAGACACATGCAAAGAAACAGGACTTGAGGGGGCAGTCTGCTTGCTCTCCCAGGGACTAATCAATTCCTACAAGAACTAATTCAGTCTTTGTATTAGTCCGTTTTCATGCTGCTGCTGATTAGGACATACCCAAGACTGGGAAGACAAAGGGGTTTTAATGGACTTACAGTTCCACATGGCTGGGGAGGCCTCACAATCATGGCAGAAGGCAAGAAGGAGCAAGTCATGGATGGCAGCAGGCAAAGAGAATGAGCTTGTGGAGGAAAACTCCCCGTTTTTAAAACCATCAGATCTCATGAGACTTATTGACTATCACGAGAATAACATGGGAAAGACCTGCCCCCATGATTCAGTTATATCCCATCAGGTTCCCCCCACAACATGTGGGAATTATAGGAGCTACAAGATGAGATTTGGGAAGGGACACAGAGCCAAACTGTATCATTCTGCCCTGGCCCCTCTCAAATCTCATGTCTTCACATTTCAAAACCAGTCATGTCTTCCCAACAGTCCCCCAAAGCCTTAACTCATTTCAGCATTAACTCAAAAGTTCACAGTCCAAGGTCTCATCTGAGACAAGGCAAGTGCCTTCCACCTATGCACCTATGAGCCTGTAAAATCAAAAGCAAGTTAGTTACTTCCTAGATACAATGGGGGTACAGGCTTTGGGTAAATAGAGCTGTGTTCCAAATGGGAGAGATTGACCAAAACAAAGGGGCTATGGGCCCCATGCAAGTCCAAAATCCAGCAGGGCAGTAAAATTTTAAAGCTCCCACATGATCTCCTTTGATTCCATGTCTCACATCCAGGTCATGCTGATGCAAGAGGTGGGTTCCCATGGTCTTGGGAAGCTCTGCCCCTGTGGCTTTGCTGGGTACAGCCTCCCTCCTGGCTGATTTCATGAGCTGGTGTTGAGTGTCTGCAGGTTTTCTGGGCACACAGTGCAAGCTATCAGTAGATCTACCATTCTGGGTTCTAGAGGACAGTGGCCCTCTTCTCACAGCTCCACTAGACAGTGCCCTAGTAGGGACTCTGTGTGGGGGCTCTGACCCCATATTTCCCTTCTGCACTGCCCTAGCAGAGGTTCTGCATGAGGGCCCCACCCTGCAGCAAACTTCTGCTTGGACATCCAGGCATTTCCATACAACTTCTGAAATCTAGGCAGAGGTTCCCAAACCTTAATTCTTGACTTCTGTGCACCCACAGGCTCAACACCACATGGAAGCTGCCAAGGCTTGAGGCTTCCACACTCTGAAGCAACAGCCTGAGCTATACCTTGGCCCCTTTTAGTCATGGCTGGAGCAACTGGGATGCAGGGCGCCAACTTCCTAGACTGCATACAGCAGAGGGACCCTGGGCCTGGCCCACAAAACAATTTTTTCCTCCTAAACTTCTGGGCCTGTCATGGGAGGGGCTGTTGTGAAGACCTCTGACATGCCCTGGAAACATGTTTCTCATTGTCTTGGGGATTAACATTTGGTTCCTTTTTACTTATGCAAATTTCTGCAGCTGGCTTGAATTTCTCCTCAGAACATGGGATTTTCTTCTCTATTGCATTGTCCGGCTAAAAATTTTTTACTTTTATGCTCTGCTTCCCTTATAAAACTGAATGCCTTTAACAACTCCCAAGTCACCTCTTGAATGCTTTGCTGCTTAGAGATTTCTTCTGCCAGATACCCTAAAATCATCTCTCTGAAGTTCAAAGTCCCGCAGATCTCTAGGGCAGGGGCAAAATGCTGCCAGTCTCTTTGCTAAAATGTAACAAGAGTCACTTTTGCTGTAGTTCCCAACAAGTTTCTCATTTCCATCTAAGACCACCTCAGTCTGGTCTCTATTGTCCATATCACTATCAGCATTTTTGGCAAAGCCATTCAACAAATCTCTAGGAAATTCCAAACTGTCTCACACTTTCCTATCTTCTTCTGAGCCCTCAAAACTGTTCCAATCTCTGCCTGTTACCCAGTTCCAAAGTCACTTCCACATTTTTGGGTATATTTTCAGTGGTGCCCCACTCTACTGGTACTAATTTACCTTATTAATCTGTTTTCACACTGCTGATAAAGACATACCCGAGACTGGGAAGACAAAGGGGTTTTAATGGACTTTTAGTTCCACGTGGCTGGGGGTCCCTCACAATCATGGTGGATGGCAAGGAGGAACAAGTCACATCTTACATGGATGGTGGCAGGCAAAGAGAATGAGTTTGTGCAGGGAAAGTCCCATTTTTAAAACCATCAGATCTTGTGAGACTTATTCACTATCACAAGAATAGCATGAAAAAGACCTGCCTCCATGATTCAGTTATATCCCACCAGGTTCCTCCCACCACACATGGGAATTATGGGAGCTACAAGATGAGTTTTGGGTGGGGACCCAGAGCCGAACTATATCAGTCTTACTACAGCAAGAACTCATTCACTACAGTAAGAATGGCATCAAGCCATTCATGAGGGATCCTACCGCGTGGCCCAAACACCTCCCACTAGGCCTCACCTCCCAACACTGCCACATAGGGGATCAAATTTCAACCTGAGTTTTGGTGGGGACAAACTCAAGCCATAGCTGTGTAATTTTTGTGAATTTTGACAATTCTTCTTCTTCTTCTTCATCTTCTTCTTCTTTTAACAAAGTCTTGCTGTTGCCTAGGCTGGAGTGTGCAGTGGCGTGATCTCATCTCACTGCAACCTCCACCTCCTGGGTTCAAGCGATTCTCCTGTCTCAGCCTACTGAGTAGCTGGGATTACAGGTGTGCACCACAACACCTGGCTAATTTCTGTATTTTTAGTAGAGATGGGGTTTCACCATGTTGGTCAGGCTAGTCTCGAACTCCTGACCTCAGGTGATCAGCCTGCTTTGACCTCCCAAAGTGCTGGGATTATTCTGGCTCAATTCTTTTTTTTTTATTGACAGTATATCACAACTTCTTCGGGTGAATTATGAGTTATACAGGTACCACAATTCCATGCTTGGATGTCTGCTTTATAGAATTCATAATTTAGTAAGAACATTGCTTTTATCATGACACTATGTCCCTCCAAAATTTTATTTGTATTGTCGCCCCAAAATAAATACATTTAACATCAATGGAGATCTTTTAAGAAAAATTTCAGTTACATTCTCAATAATGCAAAATATTTCACTAAACAAGGATTTCCAAAAGCTTTATTTCAATTCCATTAATTGGATGAAAAACTCAATCCATTAGTGAGATTAGCTGATTCTTTTATTTAAAGCATGTGATCGCATTGGTATAAAATTGGCCTCATTCAACTGTGTGCCAAGATTGTCTTCTGACAATGGAGCCAAAACAATAACAACTGTCATGAACTTTTTGTGCGTGTGTGAGAAACTATAGACTCCAAAGTGAGTACAACTAATTTGAAAGAACAATTGTTTCATTTAAATGGAAAAACCTGCTTTGCGTACTGAAACTTAAATGTGCCTTCTGCTGTCCCATGTGTTAAATTGTTATATCCGGACATAGTTTTTATTGAAATAATTAGTAACTTCAGTAGATTTATAGCAAAATTCAAGGTTGTTACCATTTAACAAAAGTGTTTAGATTATCCTCTAGAGGAGAGCTACTCAACCTTTATTTCCTGCGCTTATTGCATATGTACATAATCTGTAAGGTTTTGCTGTTGTTGCTGTTTTTGAGACGGGGTCTCGCTCTGTCATCAGGCTGGAGTGCAGTGGCGCGATCTGGGCTCACTGCAACCTCTGTCTCCCGGGTTCAAGTGATTCTCCTGCCTCAGCCTTCTGAGTATCTGGGATTACAGGTGCCCACCACCACGCCTGCCTAATTTTTGTACTTTTAGTAGAGACAAGTTTTCACTATGTTGGCCAAGCTGGTCTCGAACTCCTGACCTCAAGTGATTTGCCCACCTTGGCCTCCCAAAGTGCTGGGATTACAGGCGTGAGCCACCGTGCCCAGCCTATAATATTTTTCCATTTTCCACCGACCCTACTGACTTCATGCATCTTGAAGATTGCAGTAAGAGCCATAGCAGAACCGCAGAAGACAATAAATAGCCGCCAAATATTTCTCCCATCAATACCACCTAAGACAGAAAACTTGACATTCCCTAGCAGCATGTGCCACCGCCCACTTTGTTTTCTTAGCAAGTGTTTTTGCATGCTTTCTTTGAAAAGGAGGGCTTAGTTAAATTGCCCCAGGAAAGTGTTGGAAATAAAGAGAAAGATTAAAGCTGGTCGTCTTTCAGATTTACTGTGCGCTAAGGAGAGAACTCTGTTTCCTGAACACAGACCTCACATGCTGCTAGACAAGACCATGGCAGAAGATGGATATAACCAAATGGAGATCCAGCAAACTCACCTCAGTTTACTTTAATGCAAATATTAATGATATATCTTTTAAAAAATGAAAAAATCCAGGACAAATGCAAACTAGATGGGATGCCCGACCGCAGGAATAACCAGTACTATTACAGACAAAGGGGATACATTGTTACCCTACCAAGAACCCAACACAGCTCAGTGTCCTTGGGAGCCACTACCAATTGATAGGGGTTGACCCACTGGAGGAAACTCCCTAAATGAAATTCCTCAGACCCTGGACAGTCTCTAAAGCGTTATAGACTTGGATTCATTCTCTTTGAAGAGAACCAGTGAATCTCTATATTCTAAATGCTTTTACATAGAGATTAGAAGAGTTCTTATCTAGAATTGTTGGTATCCAATGTGCTCCATTCACTCTCTCAAGGATGGTGACTAATGTTTGGGCCACACTGAATGTGCTGGGAGCTAGGAAGCCACACTGTTGCACACCTCCACACTTCTGATTTACCAGCCAAGTTAAAAATTATGGGCTGGGTGCAGTGGCTCATGCCTGTAATCCCAGCACTTTGGGAGGCCAAGGTGGACAGATCACCTGAGGTCAGGAGTTCGAGACCAGCCTGACCCACATGGAGAAACCCTGTCTCTACTAAAAATACAAAATTAGCTGGGTGTGTGGTGGGGCATGCCTGTAATCCCAGCTACTCAGGAGGCTGAACCCAGAAGGCGGAGGTTGCAGTGAGCTGAGATTGCACCATTGCACTTCAGCCCTGGGCAACAGGAGCTAGATTCTGTCTTAAAAAAAAAATATGTACTAATTTATAGTAAACTGATAAAATGTGATTGCAAAAAAGAAAACTGCTCTTTCTCTGAAAACTATATTGAATTCCTTGGAAAGTCTTAAGAAAGGCAAGTGACTAAAATGCTCGTTAAAGTAGATGTGGGTGAAACTACTGTCAAAATTGGGGTGGGAAGGGGACCCTAAAACTGTAGGATTCTGCATTCAGATTTCTTCACACGTTTTAGGTTCTTGCTCTACTTTAAAGGAACTCATCACAGATGGTAAACATCCTAACAAAATATAGTAATAAAAAAAGGATGTGTTGGGCTCTCCTGTGTACCAGACACTGTCCCTTCACATATTCTGTGTCATGGGATCCTGTCAACAAGCACACAAAGCAGGTAGTCTTATGATTCCGATTGTACTACAAAATCAGCTGAGACCTAGAGAGGTTAATGTTGAGTAATTGCCCATTGTCACATGGCTGCTAGATGGTGAAGCCAGGAGTAAATTCTATAATTGTTTGGCTGCAAAGTCTATGCATACTATACTTCATGTGTTTTGTTCTTGGAGCATAAATCCTGAAAGAAAAAAATCAGTCGATAAAGATTCTGGTGATAAAGGTCCAGAGAGTGAACAAGTGACCATGAATAGAGGTATACTTTCAGGAACCCAGAAGATTCTCCCGGCTCTCCCCCTTTACCTCCTACCTACATCTTCTTCCACCTTCTGTTGACTGAGCCTGAAATTATTTTTTATTCCACAAATAGAGGGACAAATGCCCCCTGGGAGAGGAGCCAAGGGCTCACAAAGTATATCTGCTGCATTTGGGGAAAACCTGACAGTGCCTTGTCAGCACTACAGGCAGAGTAATTACTAAACTTTGCCAAATTTGCAGCTGCTTTTATGAGCCTCTGTAAAATTCTGTAAATGATCAATGAAGTTGCTGCAAGACCTTCCCAGTTGGGTCAGGGGAAGATAGAGAATTCTGAAGAAGTATTCTAGGCAACAGAGTACCTAGGAAATGGGGGCACAAAATGGGGCCACTTTATACTTTGCTAAGTAACCAAAGGATCACTGTGGCCATTTAATGAGCACCTACTAAGTGTCTGGTACTTTATATGGATGGAGGTTAAGAAACTTGCCAAAGCCACATAGTTATAGCAGCAGAATTGGAATATAGGCCTGATGCTGGCTGGCTTTGCTCTCCCACTACCACCTCCCTGAAACTGTCACTGCCAGGGAAGAGCAAATGTCCTAGCAAGGACCTGCAGAGGCCCAGAGCTCAGAGTTAGGGCTGGACATGGAAGCTGTCTCCCTGAGGACCACGGTCCTCACAGAAGCCAGGCAAACCCGAGGTCCCAGATACAGTTAGAGGCTGAGAGCAGAGAGCAGGATCTGGAGCAGGGCCAGGAGAGAGCCAGTCGCTGTCTTGTAATAACTCATTCTGCCACTTTCCATTATCGCAAGGATAATACACATTCTTTGTAGAAATGTTGGAAACCATGGAAAATAGAAACAAGAAAACATTTCAACCAACCAGAGAAACACTGTTAATACTTTAGTATGCTATATCTTTTCAACCTCTTTGCTCTGGGAAAGTGCATTTTTTTTTAAAAGATGGGACAATATATGTTTTCCTTTACTAATATTGGGTAAACATTTTACCCACGTTGTTACAATTCTTTTTCAATAACATTTTTAATGTTTACAATATCATTTTAATGTTTGCATGGGTAAAATGAGGACACAAGACCCTAACTAGAATCTAACCCATTTGGGACCAAATTTTAGCCCTACCATTTCCTATCTTATGTGACAAAACTTCTCTTGTCTCTATGACTCCCAGCCCCCCACTCCACACACCCACAGGCATAACAACACAACCTCTTCCTAGGTATGCTGGGAAGATTGTATGAGAAAATGAACTGAAAGCATTAAGCACAATGTCATGTAAATGTTAACGATTATCATTACTGTAATTTATCTAACAAATTCCCCATTCTCAGACATTTGGGCTTTTCAGGTTTCCACAATTACAAATCAGATGCAAGGAACACCATTATAGATGGTGTTTCTCCGTAATCATGTCTCAATATAAAATTACTGTATCAAAGGGTAAACTTTGGAAGAATTTTATACATACAGTCAAACTATTCTTCAGAAGGTTTGTATTGATTTATAACTAATTTGATGGCCCCTTAAGGAAGCTGGTTATGAAATCAGGAACCGATGATGAACTATGAGTCCAGAGGCAAGGGGCAATCAGCCTTTGTAGATGACCCCAGAATGTGAGACCTGCTAAGAGGGCCTCCTGCCTGCTCTTCCCTTGTCCTTAGAGTTGGGTCTAGGGTCTACTAAGGGGACGAGCCTGAAAAAACGGGATGGGCCCTGGCTGGCATTGAATTAAGGGAGAGGTGGATAGCAGGTGCCAAAAGATATTGGAAAAGGACTCAGTGGATCTATAAAAACCAATCCCATGATTTGCTTACTTGGATTGTTTTAATGTATTACTAATTATCGGCAAGTATTTCTCAGACATTTTAATTTAGGTGCTATTTTTAAATCATAACTAACTCAAAACAGCATACATGTATAATTTTGTGTAATGTAGAATACATTGAATTTTTGTACTGTGACTATCCTTTATTCTGAGATTACATCCTTTACAATTTTTTTCTTAGTTTATGTTCTTTTAAGTTGAAATGATGGTGACACTTGGTGGTAGAGTATTTTAAAGTCCCCTAGTTGGCAAATAAAATTGCCCGCTTCCAATTTTAGGCTTAAATTTGATTAACCCCTGGAATCCATGTGTCTGGAAGCTAATGACCAGGTGACACATAATCCAGTCTTTAAACCTTCATTTGTCCAACATTCAGTGAGTAGCTACTGAGTCCAAGGCGAACAGACATCCTTTCCCTGACCCAAAGAGCTCATGCATGGTCTTTGGATCAAATATTAGTGCAACACCAGGAAGGGCATATTGGCTCTGAAGTGACAGGCTGGAAGGGTCAGAGAGGTATGAGAGCGTGGGATCACAGTCCATCACAGGGTCCTTTACTCTTCTTAATTCTTTTTTTTTTTTTTTGAGACAGAGTCCTGCTCTGTCACCCAGGCTGGAGTGCAGTGGCACGATCTCAGCTCACTGCAACCTCTGCCTCCTGGGTTCAAGTGTTTCTCCTGCCTCAGCCTCCCAAGTAGCTGGGACTACGGGAGCACACCAGCACACCCAGCTAATTTTTTGTACTTTTAGTAGAGATGGGGTTTCACCATGTTAGCCAGGATGGTCTCGATCTCCTGACCTCGTGATCCACCCACCTTAGCCTCCCACTCTTCTTAATTCTTACAAGAATTGTTTAACTCATTATTAAATATTGGAGCCTTTGGGGAAATAAAATTTACTACAACAAACACCTCCTCATAGGTGCAAAATACATATTTCTGGAATTAAAAGGAAAAAATAGAACTAAATCTGAGACAAGAGTAGAGGTAAAATATTCCAGACACCAAGTTTTGTAACTAAGTGGAAGAAGTCAGCCATATGCTTTAAAAATACATTTATTAGGCAATTGTTTGGTTGAGAACACTCAAAGGAAGGAATACCTATGTGTAGTTGCATACAACAGGTACATGAAAGCTATCGTAAACTCTTCATTGACATTCAGAAAAATCCCTAAAGAAAAAGAATTGCAAATCAAAACATCATCAGTAACATCTATGACAAATCAACCAAGTATGAAATTCTATGCAGATATGGAATACCTCATATATCAGTGAAACAGGGGACTAGGCTGTTTGGACATATATATACGAACAAGTGTTTTTCTTTTTCCTTCCTTTTTTTTTTTTTTTTTTTGAGACAGAGTCTTGCTCTGTCACCCAGGCTGGAGTGCAGTGGTGTGATCTTGGCTCACTGCAAGCTCCGCCTCCTGGGTTCAAGCGATTCTCCTGCCTCAGCCTCCTGAGTAGCTGGGATTAAAGCCACCCGCCACCATGCCCGGCTAATTTTTGTATTTTTTAGTAGAGACAAGTGTTTTCTAGTATACTAAACCTATAGTGGTAAAAGTGAAAAAGATAAATGTTTTTGTTGTTTGAGCAGAGAAATGTTTTGGACTTAAGATGTTAAACACACAAAAAATCTTTCAAACCATTCTTCTTCAAAGCTTTCTCTGTGGCTGGGGGCGAGAGGAATTCTGGAAAGAATAGTCGTACCCATTTTGGTGGAACTTCCTGAACGTTTACACGAGGCATGATTTTTGAGAGATTTATTGGCTTGCCAGCTTTGAGTGTAGTTGCTAGTTCCTTGAGCAAATGTATATCCTGTGTCATAGCATAAAATATTAATTGGAATTCCAGCAAATATCCAGATAGTTGGGAGGGGAATAGACATGGCAGCCTTTTTTGCTTAAGGATGGTGACAATTCTGTCAACAAAAAGCTAGCCTCTAGCATCCTGCAAGTTGGAGTTCAAAAGAGAAAATACAAAAACAAGCCTCATCCAAACTTTCCCCCTCACCTGCTTCAAACTCAGATTCTTGTCAAGACTAACATGATTGAATTCATTTAATGTGAATAAATAAGTGATGTTAGCTTAAAACAGCATCTATCACTAGCACATTCTTTTCTACTGATTTCGACCAGACGTTCATTCTCTAGATAAAAAATATTTATGTTGTGAATTCACTGAATTAACATCGGTCACTAATCACCCAGTTAAGTTACAATCGTATATATTCTGGCTGGTGTTGCAATTTAAATTGCCAAAAAAATAGGCTAATCATTAGCTAATGAACTATATTAGACATGGTTTGTCTGTTAATGACATTATCTTTATCCTTTAATGACATTATTTACAAGAGATTCAGTGTTTGTGAAAGCAGAAAGCTCTATTCACTCATTGTGACAAGAAATTTTGACACGTAAATATGTATGTCATGTTTTAAAGATATACATACTACTTTTTAAAAGACAGGAGAGTCTTTCAGGCACCAAACTTGCAAAAAATCTCACAGTTTTTTTTAACAGCATAATTCAAGTATATGAGTAAATAAAAAAATAGAAAAAAAAGTTAAAACTGCCAGTGTGGAACTAAAAATTATAAAATGCTTGTAATGATATGAGATTCTTAATAAAAGTATTGGCATGAAAAAGTGGAAATTCAAGTCAAATCGCATCACAACAACATGCACTGCAATAAAAAGTTTACTATAAAATGATTTTCAAGGTGTGGCCGGGCACTAGAGGTGTTTCTAAATCTCATTACAGTGAAACTTCTAATTTTGAGTAACTCATGGCAATGAATGTTTAAAGCAATCATTTAAAAGTTCTTACTTATACAACAGTTACTCCCTGTAATGAAAATGATCCAACACTTGATTATGTGCCACAGTGTAAGGTGTGGTGACAAACACCTCATTGCTCGATAACCAGGAAAATGGAAACACAGAGTAAAAAAAGATCACTTTACTTTCCCTACATTAATGAAGAATGTGTTGAGTGTAATTACTGCTAGCAGACACATTAACTGTGTCTACAGAATTGACCAGTTGTTGGAGGAACAGCCCATCTTGAATTTATTTTGAGCCAAATACACAGCAACACAATGGGATGAACAGCCAGCCCCTTGATCCAGTGTCAACCGGAGATGTTTATTTCACAATTTAAAGAAGTTATCAGTTGCCTGCTGCAACAAAACACACAAGTGATTGTGAGCTCCTTAAGGATAAAATCCTTGGCTTATTAATTGTTAGAGTTTAGAACATGTCAGGCACATACTAAATGCTTATGAAATGATGGACTTTTACAAACAATACTCCTCAGTTAAGTTCCTCTTTTCCCTGAGTCTTAAATGATTTAAGGAGTATGATAAAATAAAGAAGTTACAAACAATAAAAAGGCAATGGTATAAGAGGACAAATTAAAGATCTCTTCCTCTAAACATATTCTCTGAGTTTCCAGATTAATACCACTGAAGGACAATGGTGGTCCCTACTACATTAACTACTCCCTGGAGGTGAATTAGGCCAAGACTAGACATAAACCCAGAAGAGAGGAGGCTAAGCAATGAATTAGAAGTTGGGATTGTTTTCCCCCAAAGCAATCAGCTGTGTGATGGAGGTCAAGGTTTTCTTGTTTGTTTCCTCTCAAGTAGGATGTATCTGTAGACAAAAATTCTAAGGCTTCAGGAAGCTGAACTACCTCTTTTGGATTTATTGGGCCCTCTCCGGGACAATAATGTTTAATGCCCTAATTAGTATCCCATGAACTTAAATGGGTCAGTGTTTTTTTTTTTTTAATATTGATGCACTCTTAGGAATTAACTACATAATCAGCTTGCTAGTGTTCTGTATTTAGACCACATTGGTGGTGCAGTTTTAGTGTCAGAACGAATCTCAGAAATATTTTTCTAGAGAAATGATTCTAATTATGATTGTGTTTGGATGTTTCCAAACTAAATAATCAATCGATTATTTCATCATGATTATCTTTCTTTTTGATGAAGGAAAAAACAGTCATGGCAGGAATTTCCCTAAATGGTTCCATCCATTCCATAGTTGTGAACCAATAACTTCATGAAGGAACTGCTTATATGACTAAGTATTGCACAGGATTATGAAAAAGTTATTTTTGGGTTAATACCTTTAGTATGCAAAGAGTTGACTGTATAGGAAGCAATGTCAATATAAATGAAAATTATATACTTATAACCAAATGTATAATATTTAGTTGAAGATGTCTATTCATTCATAATTAGAATTAAGAGAGGGTCTGGAAGTCCAAGTAATCATATCTATCAGATAAGCAATGGGATATAAGCAGCAAAACTAATTTGGAGACAGGACACAGCATAGACATTTAAAAATAAATGGCTATAAGATTTTTGAAAGTTTTTAATATCAATAAGCAGTAGCATTTAGGGGATTCTCAGTTTTTCACATAAGCCTGCCTTCATCACTTGAAAAATTTCTATATTCATTAACTTTCTTGTAATCTTGCCAGAGCACGTTACAAATTGTTCCCTTATTCACAAATCGAAGCCTTATAATTGACTTCAAAATTTTTGTTAAGCCATATGAGGCAGTTTGTGATTACCCATAATTGTTTTAAAAAGTTTCATTTCCTGAATATTAACACATGCAACTCAACTTAATTTAAAAATGTATGTTACACATTTCATATTCATTCTCTTCTGAGCATACAGAACAGGACATTTAGGTGTGATTTTTAGTATTCATCACTCTAAAATTCTGCTGTGTGAACATCACTATAAAAACATTTTAGGGAAACAGTATTTATTTTTAAACATTTCATATAAGGTGAATGATAAGTTTTGTATATACTCTAGAGCTGTACTGTTCTGAGTGGTAACCTCGAGCTACTGGATACTTGAAATGTGACTAGTGCAACTGAAGAACTGAATTTTTAACTTTAATTAATTTTAAGTTTAAAGGTTTACCGTTGTTTCAGTTACTGGAAAACTTTTAAGTGTGCTTAGACAACTTAGATTGTTGAATCTACTTTTTATCTGTAAATTTTATGAAATCTAAATACATCAAATATTACCAATGAAAACTTAGTGTCCAAATTGAGGGTTTCTGTAAGTGTAAAAAGCATGCCAGATTTCAAAGACTTAGTGTGAAAAAAAAGAATGTAAATTCCTTTTTAATAATTTTTGTACTGATTGCTCACGTGCCTCATGTTATATTTCTCTTGGATAGCACTGCTCTAGAGCTTTATGAAAATAGCTAGTTTTTAAAAGTTACATTTTAAATTTTGTATTGTAATGTCATTCTTTTAACCAAATAATTTTGATCATTATGAAAAAGCAAAGCAAATTTGTATTTACCTACCAAGAAGTGCCCTAATTGCTCACTCTGCTCTTCCTCCTTTCTCTGAATTGCAAAGCCCTCACCAGCACCCGCAGCAGAATGCAAAATCATAGACAGTGAATATGCAGAAATAGTGTATGAGAGCACTGATAATTGTGCGATCAAATCAAACTGCTCACACCCTACAAATGATATCTTTTTTCCCTCCCAGATGTTTCTGGATCTATGTGTTCCTAATTCCAAAATTAACCTTCAGCTTCCTCCCAAGTTCTGCTGTGCTATGTCTTCCGGTTTAGAGTAATAAGCGGTGACTGTACTCGCAATGTGCTAGGTCATGTATTAATACTAGATTCTGTCCAGGCCCGAGAACTTTCATCTTTCAGAGTGGAGAGCTTTCTCTGGGAGAAGGGTTCGAATCCCAGAAGTCTGAACACTGCCACCCGGTACTTCTTGGACATGATGTTGTACAGAATGGGGTTGATGGCAGCACTGAGGTAGAAGAGGACAAAGGACACGAGGTTGCAGTACTGGCTGATCTGAGCAATCTCCAAGGAGCCAGGCTCAAAGGATTTGGAAAATAAATATCGCCCTACGTGGAAGGGGAGCCAGCAGAGGATGAAGGCAAACACCACTACAGCTAAAAGGACAATGGGAGAGAGATAGTCAGCTCAAGAAATGTCACAGCAAATCACATTCTATTTTTAAGACTTTGTTTTTGTTTCATGGTCTATGACCATTGACTTCAGAGAAACATTGTGTCCTGCTCTTCCTGTTCCAACATTTTAACAAAGATTCAGTCTGTCTGGACCAACAGTTCAACAATTTTTACTGAGCTCCCCAGTCATTTCTATTTAACAACTATCTGAGTGATTTTGTACTGAGTTGACACATTGACTCAACTGACTAGACCATTTATTCACAATAGTCCAGCAGTTTTTATGTGTTAGACACAACAGACACACTTACGAGGTAAAGTGGTTGTACTCAACCATAGCTGTGTATCCGAGTCTCCTGGGGCACTTTTTAAAACAATGCAGATTCCTTGGATGTAGTATAGACTCAGTCAATTTAAATCTCTAAGAGGGCGATCAGGACATATGTTTTATCTTCTCTTTTTTTTTTTTAAGTTTCACAGAGGATTGAATATACAGTTAGGATTAAGAATCACTGAGATGAATGATTCTATGCCACTTACAATAGACATAAGTAAGGCTATTATTAAACCAACTCATATAAATTATCATCCATCCAAGTCTTCATTTTGCCTATGTAAGATAATTTTTAATGATGTCTAAATGTTTAGATTGTTTTAAATTCAGAAATCAGGGAAAAATAATAACAAATAATTTTTTAGTCGTTGTAACACTTTAGTGATCCCCTTCAAATTGTCAAGGAAGAAGAAAGTTAACATTGGTGTTGAGACACCAATGAAGAAATTAATGGCTTGAAAATAAAATTGGAGGAAATTATTAAACTTATCCTTAAAACTAAGTTGTATAGTAGCAACTTAACTGCCACAGTAACAATGTGACTCTCGTAGGTGAGAGCTTAGGATCCCTTGGAGGACACTAGCAGGTTTATAACCTATGAGTCATATCACGAGAATCACCGGTCCAGAAAATAAAATCTTTGACATTCCTTGAATAAACTCTATCACTTTAATATGGAGGATCCAGGAACTGTAAAATTGGAAATATGAAATCATCCTGGAATGGCTTCTAAGAAGCCTTAAAATATGCCATTAAGTATGAAGTCTTGACTATAATATCTAAATAATAAAATATACAGACCTTGGTTTTGAAAATGCAAGTAGAGTTAATATTTTGCTGGGCTGTAACCATATTTATTATTACTTCACTTGTACCAAACACATATACTTAAAGAAGCTGAATTTGTGCAATAAACATTCAGCAAATCCAGTTATGACATTGTGCCCAGATGTTCCTGAAGGGTCATTTGGGGAAGTAGTGAATTCTGTTGGTTTCCACAAAGTCTCCTTTCCTCCTGTTGGAGCTTTGTTTAATCTAGTTTATCCTTACCTTATCCTAGTCTATCCTACCTGAAGAGGCAGGTAATCATAAAAACAAATGAGACTTCACTGATTTGTCACTGACTTCCTTACAAAGCTGTATGAACAGCAGCAGGGTAAACAGAATTGATGCAATTATCTGAAAAAATGCAGGGCAGAAAACAAATCACAATATTGAAAGAAAAATGAATAATCTCTAAGAGGATTATCCAAATTGATCATGTCTTTGGTTGAATTTACCGCTGAACGCTTTCTAGATCCAAACCCTGCTTTTCTTAATGTAACTTAGATATTCACAAATCCTACTTGAGGCAGGAAGTCAGTCCTCACTTTTAACGCTTAAAGACCACAATGGACTTTTATAAGATATCTCGATTTTTAAAGTGGAGTTTCTGGGCTGATATAAAATTTATTTTAGGGAAATACAAATATGGGACATTTTTGCATGAAAGAGAGAAAGGAGAGACAGGAAGAAAGAGACACAAAGAGATAGAGACGGTAAGAAAGACACTGACAAAGTAAAGGGGGAGGAGAGAGAGAGACAGAGACAGAGAGAAAGATTGAGAGATCAAAAACATCACTCAAGAAAGCAAGAGGAGAGAATAATTGAGAGAAACGCAGAGAGACAGAGGCCCAGAGAAACTGAAGAAAGAGGTAGCGACTCAGGGGGAAATAGAGATGGAGACTCAGAGAGAAGGGAGAAGGCACAGGGAGAGGATAGGACCCGCGAGAGAAAGCCTGAGCGCGCGCTGAGACCCACCCAGCATTTTCACGGTTTGCTTGTGGTTCTGGTCCCTGAGCGAGGCACCCACGACAGCATCGCCGCGCCTCCTCCGCCACAGCTTCCTGCCGATGAGACTGTAGAGGACCGTGAGACAGAAGACAGGAAGGAAGAAGAAGATGCTGGACACCCACACCATGACCGTGAGCAGTCCAGAGCGCACCGCAAACTCGGTGGGGCGGCACTCGTTGGTGTCCCAAGGGTCGGTGCCGTTCTCGTGCTCCACCCCGACTAGCACGAAGATGGGCCCGGCGCTGCAGAAGGCCACGGCCCAGATGACGAAGATGACCAGCTTCACCCGCCCCTTGGTGACCACCACCTTGGCCCGGAGTGGGAAGCAGATGGCGAAGTAGCGCTCGACGCTCAGCGCTGTGATGGTGAGCACCGTGGCGTAGGTGCAGCTCTCACTGACGAATTGGAAGAGTTTGCAGAGGAGGTCGCCGAAGTTCCAGGGCCGGTACTGCCAGAGGCGAACGAGGTCCAGGGGCATGCAGAGGAAGATGAGCAGATCGGAGAAGGCCATGCTGGACAGGTAGAGGTTGGTGGTGGTGCGCAGCTCGCGGAAGCGCGACACCACCAGCATGGTGAGCAGGTTGCCAGCGATGCCCACCACGAAGAGTGCCACGCAGGTGGCTGTGACGCCCGCCAGCAGCGGCGCGGGGAAGAGCTGCAGCAGCTCGTCGCCCAGCGAGTCGTTGCCGGGGGAAGCATCCCAGTCCAGGTCGGCCAGTGTGAGGTTGAACCCCGGCTCTTCGCTGGGCGTCGCGTTCCACATGCTGCCGGCTCAGCTGAACAGGCTCTGGGACGTGACTGCGCTGGGAGGCTGGACCGAGCTGGCTCCCGAGGAGGTCCGCTTAGGCGCGGGAGGGTGCGAGGGAGGAGCGGGTGCAGACGCGTAGGGAGGATGCTTGGAGAAGAAAGAGAGGGAGGTGAGAGGCAGAAGCCGAGGAAGAAGGTGAGATGGGGACAAGGAAGAGGGAGAGAGACTGGTGGTCAGTGGGTGAGAGAGTGACCCACTGCTTTCTCTGACACCTCCCCTTTCCCCCACCAACTCCCCCAAAGTTTCTCCCAACACATCCTCCGGCCGGCGCCCACACGCATACCTGTCACCAGCCCTGCCTCGCATTTGCGTTCTCGATCCAGTTCCATCTCGCACTTCCCAAAGCGTCGCAGCGAGTGGGGACCGCAGGGACCAGGCGCCGCGAAGCGGGAGCGTGAGGCGCTCTCTCCGAAGCCCTGGGCGACGCTGGACTAGTGTGCCCCGGAAGGACAGGTCACACCCGGGGGTGGGGGTGAAGACGACGGTGGCGGTGGGGAGGACACCTTTAGCAGCTGGGACCTGATTTCTTCCTCCACAAGGCTGCAGCTGGCTATGGCCCTGGTGGAAAGAAAAAGCGAGCTTGACCAACTCGACTTGGGAAGGGGGATAGAGAGAGAAAAGAAGGACCTTGTGTTTGTATTCATACCGGTGAGCACCAAAGAATAGTCTCACGCAGTTATAGGACCCAGGTTCAGCGATGTGACTACTTGTCCAAGGTCACACAGCGAGCTGGGGACTCGGGGACCAGTGTCGGATCTCCCACCCGGTTGGGACTTCTGAGCGCACAGGGGCAAGATATGTGAGTAAACCCTGTCCAGAATCCCAGTCCTTTGTATCACTCGGTAGTGGTAGAGAGTCTGCTGTAGGGTATATTACTTTTGCTTGATGCAAACCTGGTGGCGGGGTGCCGAGGTTGGTCAGGGAGGGAACAGGAGAAAGGAAAAAGGCAGGGTTGGAGGTGTGTGGAGGCGGCAAGTGAAGAAGAGGCTGTGAGGCTGGCGCGTCGAGAGTGTGCAGGAAACATTTTTTGAGGCATAACTGAGAGAGATCAGCCATTTAGTAGCCGTATTCCCTTGGGCAAGGTCTTCAACCTCCTGAGCATTACGTCTTTTTCTTTGAATTGCAATGATTTGTGCGGACCACTGGGGGTGATATCAAGTGTCAGGGACCACCGGAGGCACTCAATAAATAGAAGACGCGTTGCTGTTGAGAAGTAGAAGCTGTGCCGGTGGGAACAGGTCAAAGGCCACCCCTACACTAGCAAGGTGACCCTCTGGACGCGGTCTGTGCGTCTCCTGCTCAGAGCCAGAAATCAGCACCCGAAGGCATGAGACTGCCAGTTGCCAGCGAATTCACAAATCCGACCGGCCCCTCCCGGCCCACCGACCTCGGGACCGCCCCAGGAACATATTCAGCACTGTGGCCAGCGCCACATCCATCCTACCGCAAAGCGCCGCTGGAGGAATGGCTTCCCTGTCACTCCCACCGTTTTTAACTTGCGCTTCTAACGCCTCAGTCCTACCCCACGGAGGAGCAGGGCAGACTCCCACGAAGCACAGGCCGGCGTTAGTCACTGCCTTGACCATACACATCGGCGCTCACCCGATGAGATACCACGTACTGTGTATGAGAGAGTATCCCCCTCAGTTGAATGCGTTTGTACTTGCCTTTCACAGACAGTTTGTACCACCTCTACTACCTAAATTGTTAATACTTAAAAGTCCACAAAGACCTAAGACTGAATGTGTGCACAAATGCGTGAAAGACTCCATGCAGTAAATTACTACATGAGAGAAGTTTGATACAGGAAATTTAACATAGTGGTTTGGTTGCCGCTGGTGTGTTAGACATTGGACCAAACTGAGTTTTGTTTCGTTTTGCTTTGTTTTGTTTTGTTTTGCTGGTTTTGTTTTGTTTTGTTTTGAGACGGAGTCTCCCTCTGTCGCCCAGGCTGGAGTGCAGTGGCGCGATCTCTGCTCACTGCAACCTCCGCCTCCCAGTATTGGATCTCCCACCCGTTTGGACTTCTGAGCGCATAAGTCCAGGTTCAAGCAACTCTTCTGCCTCAGTCTCTCTAGTAGCTGGGACTACAGGCGTGTGCCACCACGCCTGGATAATTTTTTTTTGTATTTTTAGAAGAGACAGGGTTTCACCATACTGGCCAGTCTTGTCTCGAACTCCTGACCTCGTGATCTGCCCGCCTCGGTCTCCCAAAGTGCTGGGATTACAGCCGTGAGCCACTGTGCCCGGCCCCAAATTGAGTTTTTAAAACATTAATTTCAGACTACTATTTTTTAAGTATTACAACTAAGTCAAACTACCAATTACAAACAAGTTTTTATTTAATCAATAACTTTGTTACTCCCTGACCTATATTATCAGTAGGTTGATGTATGTGGAAAGAAAGGGAGAGAAAGTGGACTGGGATAAATCAGAATACTATGGGAAGTTATTGCCTAAGACTGAGAATCAGGAAAATATTGTTGGATATATTTCTAGTCTACTCAGTGCTAAAGCTATGGCTGATAGTTGAAAAAACTGAAAACAAAAACCACCAAAACTATTGTGATAAAAAAAATTTTCATGTTAGCTAAAATAGCCAGCCATTTAATGGCACTCAACCAGTTTCTAAAATATAGACAAATCTATATTGCATGACCAAGAAGAAACAGAGGGTGCTATTGTAGTTGCTCTATTTATTCACAACATGTGAAATATTATGTAATACCGTATATAAAACTATCTCTAGTAAGTGGTAGGTACTAGGATAACAAAATAAATAAAACCCAGACAGATCCTATATTTATAAACTTATAGTCTAGAGAGAAAAATACAGTTAAATAAGTAATGCTAGTACAGTATTGATAGGTGCATTTAAAGAGGCATGTACAATGAGCCCTGTTGGAATTCAGAGAATGAATGAACCACGTGGAGGCTTTAGGGAAGGCCTCTCAGAGGAAGCAGCATCTGAGCTGGATCTTGGAAAAGTTCAGTTCCATCAGAAAAAGGAAAACTTGCTCAACCATTCAGACAACGGACACAAAAGCATTTTGGAGTGACATTCAGTATGCCTTGTTCTATGAATGGTGTAAAGAGTATTATTATTGACTTGTGGATTTTTATATAGTAAGTGCATACCAATCAGTTACGGCGATTGTTTTCTTTTAGACACTCAAATTGTCCCATCTTTGGCCAATGAGATCCACTTCAAGTTGGTTCCAGGGTCCTTTTGACATAACTCACTTAGATTTTTAGAGCTTACATGCTGTGTTTTGTGGCACAATGAGATGCCTCAAGCTCACCTTGTAAATTCTCCACACTATACCTAGGAGCAACCATTATTTCAAGAATCCCTGGTATCCGCAGTGGGAAACAGCATTTAGAGACCAACATTTGGGCAGTGGGGTTGGTTATTATCCCTGGAGCATTATGGTCTAGGTTCTGCAGACAAAGGTAGGATATATACATATGTATACACATTATATGTATATTCTATACATATAAATAAAGTTACATAGTTTCCATTATGAAGATGTACCTTAGTTTCATTTAACCAGTTTATTGATAAATATTTGTGAGTTTTTAATAATCTTTTATTGCTATAATATATATATTGCTATATATTCTATACATATATATGGTGTGTATATATATAGGCTATGTACTATATACATATATATACACATATATAGATGAGTGTGTGTATAATCATTATCATCTCACAATATCTAGATATCTATAAATCATGAGATGATAATTATGATACTGTAGATAAATCAGACAGACCCTGAGCAGATGAACAAAACTAACATCACCACTATGATACCCTGGGAAGGACACAATGTCACTTATATGCATTCCAGCTAGAAACGAAGAACCTCAATCTAATCACAAGGAAACATCAGACAAACTCAAAATGAGGAATCATTTATTTAAAAAATTATTCCAAAAATTTCAATGTTACATAAGACAAAGGAAGACTGAGAAAATGTTCCAGAACAAATGACACCAAAGAGACATAACAACTAAATGTAATTTCTAATTTTAATTTCTGATCAATGTTCGGTTTATTGAAGTTGACAGCTACATGGAAGAGGATGTTCTTATTCTTAGAGATGCACACTCAACTGTGATTTATGCAGCTTACTCTCAATTGTTTCAAAAAAATCATGTGTGTGTGTGTGTGTGTGTGTGTGTGTGTGTGTGTAGATAGAGCAAATGAGGAAGCAAATGGGGCAAAATGTTAATAACAGGTAAATCTTACGAAACGGTAAAATGATTTTCTTTGCACTATAATTGCACATTTTCTATAAGTTTAAAATTACTTTCAAATTAAAGTTCAAAACTCATACATTTGTATAGATATTTCTGATTCAATTTCCAATTATTAACTTCTTTGAGTTGATATTTATACTGAACATCTTGTTTCTAACAACATAAACATAATTATCTTATACATAAAATGATTTCAGACTAATAACGTCAGCATTACCACTAATAATAAAATTGACAAATGAAGTTTGAGATGTTTTTGCAGTTCTCTTTTGTCCTTACAGTATATCCCACTAAGTTTGTACAATTGCTGTATTTTCAAATTACTTGAAACAATGTTTTTCTATGTGTGGTTATTTACCAATTTGATACATGGTTCATTTGTTTCCATTACTTTCAATTTTTAAATTTTCTATTTATTTTTAAATTTTAAATTTGCTTTAAAATTTTAGTTTTTAATATATAAAACATTTTCTTGATCTAACAATTAAAATGTTAAAGTATGGTTCTAAATTTAAAACTTTAAACAAAAGTATACCCAGGAAAATGTTATTTTCTTTTCCTACTTTTCAAAAGATAACATTTAAAAATTTTAGCTTCTAATTTATCTGTCGTGTGTGTTTCTTTTTCTAAGTTTATGTGTGTGTGTGTGTGTGTGTGTGTGTGTGACCTACTAAAAGGTAGTATACCATACATTCATACCAGACTGTCTTCTGTGTTGCCTTTTCAATTTAATATTATATCCTGGGATTCTCTCATAGCAATTTTTTAATGTTTTCTTTCAATAATCCACCTAGAGAAAGTTACACAGTTTCCATTTATGAAGATGTACCTTAGTTTCATATAACCAATGTTTATTGATGAATATTTGTGTTTTTAATAATCTTTTATTGCTATAAATGATAATGTATATATCATTTTATATGTGTACAGCTGTATTACAAAATAATATAAAATAATTTAATAAAAGAAGAGATGATACATGGCGGTATACAAATCATTGAATGGCACAATACAGCATGGAGACACAGTGTATAGTGCCTGATCGTCAAGTCTGGGCTGTGAAAACATATATAGAGAAATTTGGTATGAAGTAACAGATACAACATTACATTATATTCTTATAAGTGGGATTGTTGAATCAAAGGGTCAAAGTACCTGTAATTTTGTTATATATTGCTACATTCCTCTCCATGGGATTGTATCACCTTTTATCTTCACTAGCAATGGATGAGAGTGCCTGATTTCTCCCAGCCTCTACCATAGTGTTGTCAACTTTTGAATTTTTGCCAATTTAATTGTTAGGTGAGAAATGGTTTCTCATTGTGTTTTTCCTTTGCATTCCTTTATTTTGAGTGAGATGAGCATATTTTCATATGTTTAAGGGCCATTTGCTTTTCTTTTCACGTGAACTGCTGGACTATGACTTTTGCCCATTTTTCTATTGGGTTGTTTTTCTGCTTTTAAAAATTGATTTCTAGGAGCTCTTTCTGTGTTGGAGAGATAGTCCTTTGGAAGAACATAAATAGAAAATATTTTTTCCCAGCTGTTCATTTGTCTTTTCAATTTTACTTATGGGTATTTTTCTTTATTTGACACACACAAGTTTTAAATTTCTGTGTCATCAAATTAGTCAGTCTTTGTTGTTATTGTTTCTGGATTTTGAGTCATATTTATGCAGGCTTTACTCACTGCTAAGTTATAAAGGAATCTGTGTTTTGTTCTATTATTTTTTGGCTTTAGTTTTTAACACTTATATTTCTGAATCCATTTGCAATTTATCTTGGAACATGAAATGATATATGGATCCAATTTTATCCTTTTCCAAATGGTTACTCAGTTGTTTCAGCATCATTTATTAAAAAGTTTGCCTTTTCCTTAATAATTTAAGGTGACTCTTGTCTTGTATTAAATTTCTATATGTATTTTCAGAGCCCAGTCTCAACACTCAGGCACTATATACTGCCTATCCATGCTGGATTTGTACCACTCAATGAATTGTACACTGCCATGTGCCATGTACTCTTTAATTATTAAAATTTCACTTTTTGATACCATATTTCATGTATTAATCAGGATAAAGATTGGATACATACATCAGGAAACCTAAAAAAGAGACTGAAAAAACATAAAATCTTATGGATTCATTTTGCTTCTAAGGGAAATCGGAATATAGACTGCCCAGGACTCGTATCAGGAACTCATGCTCCTTTTGCCTCTCTGCTCCACCATCCTTTGTGAGTGGCTTCCAATATCAAGGTTGCTTCCTGGCTCAAGATTGGTGCTGGAGCTCCCAGTCATCTAAATGAGTTCCAGGCAAGAAGAAACAGAGAGGCAGGGATAAAGAGCTTTCTTAAAATTCTGACTCAAAACTCTCACGTTACATTGGCCAACTCCATTTTCAAGAGAGGCTGGAAAATACACATTTATAGCAGGGCACGTTATCACTCCCAGGGTTCTAGATTTGAATAAACAATTTACAGTTTCTGCCATGTTTCCCAATGTGACTGTAAGTAATTTGAAAGCAAAGACATATTTTTCTTTAGATGACCTAGTACAATGTCTTGTAGGTAGTAGAGCACCTAAAACAAACATTTCCTGTGTTGATTAAATTTATATTTCATTTTAATAAAAATATAGAACATATAAGAAGGCTTATAAGGAAATTTAAACACTATATTGTACTTTTCATAAAATATATCATTTATTTTAATGTTCTATTCAAGCTTTGAACACAATGTACTAATATATCTGGCTTCATCACTTATACTCTCTCTACCACATCATGTAGCCTCATTTAAATAATGTCATGTACATATTTCAAAGCAAGAAGTACACATTGCTCTTTCCAGACCAGCAAGCTGTAAGAATGTATATTTAATATCAAGTATATCAACAGAGGAGTAGAAATATATATCTAAAATAATCTTCGCATTCAAGTACCTTAAAAATCATCAGCAGCATTATTTTTTAAGAGATAGGATCCTGCTCTCTAGCCCAGACTGGCATGCAGTGCCACAATCACAGCTCACTGCATTCTCGAACTCCTGGGCTCAAGGGATCCTCCCACCTCAGCTTCTTAAGTAGCTAGGACTGCAGGTGCACACCACCAGGCTTGGCTAATTTTTTTTATTTTTTGTAAAGATGGAGTCTTGCCATCTTGCCCAGACTGGTCGGAAACTCCTGAGCTCAAGCGATCCCCCTGCCTTGGCCTCCCAAAGTGGTGAGATTACAGGTGTGAGCCACCACATCCGGTAAAAATCATTTTCTAATTAGCAAATGAGACCTATTATCATAAGTAATCACTATGAAAATTAAAATAATTTTACAATTTAGAGATTCATTTTAAAATCTTTGTGATTTTCTGACTATAGAAGTAACATGTTTCTTAAAAACTCAAACATGTTAGAAAGTCTCCTATACCCATCTCTTTTTGAATTTTCCCCATAGATATTTCAGTGGGACTTTCCATATTTTTACTGATACTCATACCACTAGTTTTGCATCTGATATTAAGCATTACTACTTTTACCTAGTCCTTTAAAGCCTAGTTAATACCAGAATTTATCTATTAATAGTTATCAAAGTTACATATAGGTTTATAATTTCAAATACTTATACAGGGCTTATTAAACCATATTGGCACTGATTTATGCATTATGCATTATTATGTATTGGTATACTGTTATGAAAGAAGCTTATTTATTTCTTTTATACTCTCAACTCATGAATCACCCATATATGGGTACACGCACACACATACACACACACACACACACACACACACACCCTCCCCTCTTTCATCTTCCAAATGTAATCATACTATAATTTTGGGATTAGATTTATCCTCAATATTCACATTTTATGCTGATGTAGATATTACTAAATCTGAACCACATAGTACACTGTGATAATATTCTCCTTTCTTGAAACACCTTTTGTTTTCCTTGGTGTTATAACCACCTTATTGGATGATTTGCCTAGTTTCTGAATAACTACTACTAATCTTCCTCTCAACATTTTTTAACTCAACAGGTTATTTTACGCATTTCGACCTGTTTCTTTGGGACAGTGCTTCTGGATACCTACACTCCGCTACTCCAATCTGAACTAGTACTCTCTGGGCTTGTTACACAGGTTATTGTCCTGATTGTTCACCATCCTCTTGGGTACCTCCTTTGCCTGGCCAGGTACTGTGTCTTCCTCTTTTTCGGTTCACTTTCTGTTAAGAAGGTGCACATTCTCCAATAACTTGTTGAAAAAAGGTACATGGAAGATACATTTTTGAGGAACTTTTATATTATGAGTATTTTTATTGTACCATAACAATTTATTGGGAGTTTAGTTATCCTCTTAGTCTGTACCACAGTAACAGAATATCATAGGCCAGGTGGCTTATAAGCAACAGAAATTTATTTCTCACAGTTCTAGAGGCTGGGAAATCCAAAATCAAGGCAGATTTTGTGTCCAGTGATGACATCCTTTCTGATTTCCTAGATAGCCATCTTCTCACTGCATCCTCACATGGCAGAAGGGGTGAGGAAGCTTTCTGGGACCTCTTTTATATGGTTACTATCCCATTCATGAAGACTCCATTGCCATGACCTACTCACCCACCAAAGGCCCCACCACCACACCACCTAATACCCTTACATTTAACATTAGGATTTCGGCCGGGCATGATGGCTCACGCCTGTAATCCCAGCACTTTGGGAGGCTGAGGTGGGCAGATCACAAGGTCAGGAGATCGAGACCATCCTGGCTAACACGGTGAAACCCCATCTCTACTAAAAATACAAAAATTAGCCAGGTATGGCGGTGTGCGCCTGTAGTCCCAGCTGCTGGGGAGGCTGAGGCAGGAGAATGGCATGAACCCGGGAGGCAGAGCTTGCAGTCAGCTGAGATCGCACCACTGCACTCCCGCCTGGGCAACAGAGCGAGACTCCATCTCAAAAAAAAAAAATTAGGATTTCAATACATGAATTTGAAGGGGTGGGCACAAACATTCAGTCTATACCAGTTATGGAATTTTACTTCAGATATCACTTTCCCTAAGAATTTCAAAGGAATTGCTCCCTGGAATTTCCCAAATACAACACTATTCTAATTCCTGATCACTTGTATAAAATGCAGTTATTTTTTTCTCTGAAATGTTTTAAGATTCATTAATTTATTCTACACATATTTACTGAGCACCTGTTTTGTGCCAGGCTCTATTCTTACAACTGAGAATACAGAAGTAAGTGAAAGACACAAAAATTTCTATCCTCTGGGCACTTATATTCCAGCAGGTGAAATAAATAATATAAAGATAAATAAGTAAAACACATAATGGGTTAGACGGTGACAAGTGCTAAGGAAGAAAATAAAACAATGAAAAATCAAAACAGAAATAAAATTTTAGATAGGATAGCCAGGGAAATGACTTCTGAATGAAGCCTTGAAGGATGTGGGGATATTAGTGGGTGAAGACAATGGCATTCCAGGCAGAGGAAATAAAGGTTCTGTGGGAGGTATGGTGACTTTGTACTGTCTACTTAGCTAAGCTAATTTCAAGGAGTTTCCAAGTGTGG
Organism: Homo sapiens; assembly: GCF_000001405.40. NCBI lineage: Eukaryota > Metazoa > Chordata > Mammalia > Primates > Hominidae > Homo > Homo sapiens. The sequence goes on from NC_000003.12 coordinate 172,458,304, forward strand.
TTCTTGGCTAGGATTGGCCACAAGAGTCATTTGTTCAAGTTTGGAAAGGTAAAAATGAAGCGGCAGTCATTTTTTCCTCAGAATATTAATGTAGGCCAGGTGCTATTGTAGCTCATGCGGTTGCTGCCTTTGTTGATATGGGGCAGCAGCTGGGACCACAGCTCTTCCAGCTTCTGATGGATGTCCTCTTTCAATTTCTTCAACCACTGGGCCGTGTGCATGTTTAACTCCATGAAAAAAGGCACTAACTTCTCCAACAGAGAATGCTCCACCTGCAGCATTGGAGCTAGAGTTTGGAGGTGGTGAGAGATCACTGTGGGTTCTGAAGAGACACATGTGAGTTCCAGTTCATCATTCATTCCAGCTCCTTCTCAAGGGTCTCATATTGCACTTGATCTCCCCCACTTTCTATCTGTCTTTTCTTCCCAAATTCCTGCCATGCTAATTTCAGAATCAGCATCATATGCAGAAGCAACAGAAATTTATAAAGTGTTTAACAAGCTACCTCAGTTGCATAAGGTCAGAGCTCTAAAATTAATCACTTATTCTATGTCATTCATTGAGGTTCTGTTTCTTGGATCTCATACAGCAAGATAAGGTCTAGCTTGTGGGAGAAGCAGCAAAAAGGCCAATGTGGCTGTAGTGGGGCAAACAAATGGGAGAGTGACAGGAGGTGAGTTAAAAGAGAAAATGAGACCAAATGGTGAACTTCTTAAAGTTATAGCTATGATATTTTACTCTGATTAGATGGAAAATCACTGGAAGATTTAAGGCAGAAGAGTGACATGATCTAATACTTGTAATCCGATCACTCTGACTGCTGTTTAGGAGAAAGATGAAAGGGAAACAAAGGCAGTGGGAGGGAGGCCATTTAGGACATTATTTTAACAATCCAGGCAAGATGTTATGGAGACAAGAGATGTTGGTGACTTAGACCAGAGAACTGACATGATAGTGGTGAGAAATAGTTGAGTTCTGGACTTCTAAAAGTTAGAATCTATATGCTATGCTTATGTAACAGGTATATATATCTACTGGCCTGCGCAACTGTAAAGTATGGAGTTGCCATTAACTGATATAGGAGAGACTGGAGGTGAAACAGATTTTGAAAGGAAGATTAAAAGCTTAATGCTAGATGTATGAAATTAGAGATGCTTATTAGAAATTTTAGTAGAGAACTTAAGAAGACAGTTGGATATACTGGTATGGAGTTCGGGGCTGGAGATAAAAAATTGGGGTGTGGTCAGCAATAAATAGTATTTAAAATAAGGATGCCAGTTGAGATAAGCTAGGAAATAAGCATAGCTACAAAAGAGATGTTCAAGGGCCTAGAGATTTAGAGCCTTCCCCAAACATTTAGAGATCAGAGGCATGAGAACGAACTAGCAAAACATACTCATAAGTGGTCAGTGGAGTAGAACTCCAGCCAGGAAACTGTGATATTCTAAAAGATAGGAAAGAAAATATATCAAGACAGGAGTGATCAATTGTATCATATACTGCCATGGGTCAAGTAAGATGAGAATGGACCATTGTATTTAGCAACATGGCGGTAATTATTAGTTAATGAACCTGGTGGCATGTTGGAGCAAACCTAGTTGGTTCAAGTGAGCATGGGAGAAAATAATTTGGAGACATTGAGTATAGACAACTCTTCCAAAGAATTTTATCACAAAGGGAGGAAGACTAATGAGGTGGTAACTAGAGGAGATATGGGGTCAAGAAAGTTTTTGTTTTAAAGGTGTGAGAAATAACAGTGGTTTGTATGCTGTTGGGGATGATATCCTATAATGGGGAAGCTGATGGTGTGGTAGAATGGAGAATGGCTGGAGCAGTGTTCCTGTGAGGGGTTGGATCTAGTGCTCAAGAGGTAGGGTGGGCCTTAGGGGGAGTGTGCCTAATGCATGCCCCAAAACAGGAGAGAATGAAGAATACGTGGGCACAGATGTAGGAGAATGGGTAGGTGTAGAGGGCCAGGCTGCAGGAATTCTTCTTTGATGGCTTCAGTTTCCTTGGCAATATAGAAAGCGAGGGGACAGCTGAGAATGGGTGTGGGGAGATGCTGGAGGTTGGAAGAGAGGAACACAATGGGAAGTAGTTGCCTGGGAGAGGGAAGGGTACTATCATCTGATTGCTGGGAATCAGTAAGGGCCCACTTGAAGTTAATGATCATGGCTTTAAAATTACACCAGTCAATACGACTGTTTGTTTTCCCATCTTTGTGTTCCAGCTGCACTCGGTACAGAAATGGAGTGGAGAGACATTTAACTTAACCAGATTGTGCTTTTGCTCAGAACAGATGAGAAAGTACAAGAAGGACAGATATTAAGGTTCTATCCAAGGAATTGGTTAGAATAATTGACAACTGAGTTTAAACTGAAGGAGATAAGTGAGGGCATGAGGAGGGTAAAGGACTGAGAAAGATGATTAAGCTCAGTGGATGTTTTCTGATTCCTGTGTTTCAAAGTGTCTTGAGATGTGATATGGTGTGGGTCTTTTCCCATTCATTGAGCGTGATGCTCTTTTGGCTTTTCAATTTATGTCCTTCAGTTCTGGAAATTTTTTTTTCTTTCTGATGCTCATTCTTATTTCATAAATGCAATATCATCTCATAGTGCTTGGAAACATTAATTATATTTTGGGGGGATTTTTTTTTTTTTTTGCTCCCTGCACTGTCTCTGTTTTTTCCGAAGTTCTTCTTCACCAGTACAATGAAAGCCTGTGTATCCTTCAGCTTCAACTGTTAAAAATATTTTGTCAATTTGTTTCACCTATTCTGTCAACTCTTGAGCATTTATTTTAATACCTCATTTGAATTTCGGTTTTAATTACAGTATATTGACATACATAAATCTCTAAATTTTGGGGGCTGATTGGGTACTGCTCCACCATCGGGCTCTCACTTTCTCATAGTCCACCATGCTTATTCTCTCCGTTTTCTGCTTTTGGCAGCTTGGATTTCATGCTTTGTTATTTAATAACACTTCTGTTAATATCTGAAACTTCCTGGCTCTCTTTTTCTCTCTGGCAAAATTCCAACCTTGAATAAACTCAGAAATTTCCTCTCCTTTACTTGCATCTAAGCAACCTAGGTTTGTTGGAGAACATCCCAGTAAAGGAAAGATTGGCTTCTCCCTAAATTTATAATCACTGATCTCAAGTAGGCCCTCAACACTGCTTAGAAATCTTACTACATTTTCCTGGTCAATTCATTCTCTGTCCTTCTCAGCAACAACTTAAAAGAAATTCATATTTCTCCAACTTTCAGTCCCACCCCCTACCTTCCTCTTCAAAATCGGAAGAGAACTTAGCCAGTTACTGTTGGAAAATAGAATCCATAAAACATAAACTCTTTCAGCTTCCCAAACTCAAACTTATTCTTAACGCTTAGTGACCTCTTAGCTATCCCACTGCTATTCTCTCTCTCTCCACTAGAGGAGCTCTTTTTCTTTCTGAGGCCAATTACTTTACCTTCGCTTGGAACCCATCCTATTCCACTTTCAGAACATTTACATTATGTATTATGCCTTCTCTTATACACCTAGACTCTCTCTCCTTCCCATCAGCTTTTAAATATGCTCAAGACTTTTCAATTAGAAAACAAACAAAAAACTTTTCCCTTCTTCAATCTACATCTATTCCACCTCTTTTCTTTCTTGTTGCAAAACCTACTGAAACGTCAGCCTATTCTGATCTTCTATCTCCAATTCTTGATTAAAACAAAGTTACTCAAGTCGCCAATGATTCTCATGCTGTTACATTTTTTTCAGTCCTCATCTCACTTTGCTTCTCAGCAGTATCCAACACTGTGGACCTGCATTTCTGAAACACTGTCTCTTTACTTTTGTGACACAGCACTATCCCTTTTTTTTTTTTATTTTCCGAGATAGAGTCTCACTTTGTCACCCAGCCTGGAGTGCAGTGGCACAATCTTGGCTCACTGCAACCTCCGCCTCCCGGGTTTATGCCATTCTCCCAACTCAGCCTCCCAAGTAGCTGGGACTACAGGTGCCCACCACCACGCCCGGCTAATTTTTTGTATTTTTTTTTTTAGTAGAGACGGGGTCTCCCCGTGTTAGCCAGGATGGTCTCGATCTCCTGACCTCGTGATCTGCCCACCTCGGCCTCCCAAAGTGCTTGGATTACCGGCGTGAGTCACTGCACCCGGCCAGCACTATCCTATTTTTTATTTTAACTTCCTACTTTTCTAATTAATCATTCTCTCCTCTTTTAAAGACTCATTTCTCTTTATCCAGCATTTAAATTTTAGAGTTCCTTCAGACTCCTAAGTCCTTTTTTCTTCTTGCTGTAAACTCTCACCAGGTGATTTCACTTATGCTCTTGAGTTCCTTCACTTCTCCATAAATAAGCCTAATCTTTATATCTCTTCTGATCTCTAAATACAAAAATTATTTACCATCTTCATCTGTATGTCTCAAAGGCCCCTAAAAATCAACATATTCTAAACTTAACTTGTGATCTTGGTGGATGATAAAAATCACCATATTCCAAACTGAACTAAGATCTGATGATATGTTTCCTACCTCAGTGATCACTGTCCATCAGTATCCATCCAGCTATGCAAGCTAAAGACCAAGGAGTCATCTTTTCTACCTCCAATCTCCTTCTTTTCTGTGACTCATATCTAATTTGTCACCAATACTGTCTAACTGGTGCCCTATAGCTACTCTGAACCTCAACAATCTATTCTCCAAAAGGCAGGCATAGTAAATTTAATCATATCATCTCTCTCACCGAAACACACTAAAACCCTTCATTGGTTCTCTATTGTTTTTACAGAAAACAACCAAAATCTCAAGATTGACAGATGACTTATAAGCCACTGCCTTGACCCTATTTATGTTTCTGGCCTATTGCACAGCATGCTGATCATTTAGTTTCTTGAAAATGCCATACTTCCTCCATTCCTGGCTCTGGGTCCAAGCTGTTTCCTCTCTCTGGAAAGTCCTACTAAAATCTCCCATTGCTCTGCCAGGATAAATCCTCTGCATCACTCAGATCTTACTTCAGCTACCACTTCCTCAAGGAAGTCTTCCCTGACTATCTGGGTCAATGCCCTCAAGTAGGTATATGCTTTCAGGCAACCACACCTTTTTATTGGTGTGGTTCTTTGATTAATGCCTATTTTGCATTAGGAACTATTGAATTCTCAGCCTCTCAACAGTGCCTGACACATTTTATAATGCTCAATAAATGATAGCTAAATACACAATATACACATTTTTTTCTATAAATGTATCATGAATAGTTTAAACTTTCAGTGAAATCGTGATTTCCAGAAAGGTTGTAAAACCAGACTTAGAAAGCAGGTCAAGGGATGGCAGACTGGGCAGCAGGGAATACTGTGGTCAAAATCAGGGCCTTGGAACCTCATTGTGAGGTTCATATAGCATAATATCTTCAAGGTTCATCCAAGTTGTAGCATGTGTTAGAATTTCCTTCTTTTTTGAGGCCAAATAATATTCCATTGTGTCTATATACCACATTGTGCTTATCCATTCACCCATCAATGAACACTTGGGCTGCTTCTAATTTTGGCTATTGTGAATAATGTTGTTTTGGGCATGGATGTACAAATATCTATACAAGTCCTTGCTGTCAATTCCTTTTGTTATATACCCAGAAGTGGAATTGCTAGATACATATGGCAGTTCTATTTTTTAATATTTTTAGGAACTGCCATATATTTTTCCACAGTGGCTATGCCATTTTACATTTCCACCAGTGGTAAACAAGAGTTCCAATTTCTCCATATCCTAGCCAACATTTACTATTTTCTGTTTGTTTGTTTTTTATAAAAACCATCCTAATGGAAGTGAAGTAGTATCTCATTGTGGTCTTGATTCGCATTTCTCTAACAATTAGCAATGTTGGGCATCTTTTCATATGTTTATTGGCCATGTATATATCTTTTTGGAGACATTTCTATTCAAGTTCTTTGCCTGTTTTAAAATCAGGTTGTTTATTTGTTGTTGAATTGTCCCTTTGACTCTTGAGATTATGTTTTTTCTTGCCAATTCGTCTTCTAAGGACTCCGAAAGCATCGGGAAATAAATGGAAAGACGAAAATTTAGTAAAAAATAGTATTCTACTATAATGGGTATGATTGTTACATCCGGTTCTATATAAGCAAGGCAGTTTCAAAGCCTCAACAGATGGTGCACAGCAATTGAGCTTTGCTGATAGAGTTACAACAAATTCCATTGAATTAAAACTCCCACTTAGCAGATGCCTTCAACAGTTGTTGTCCTCTCTGAAGCTAATCTCTGTAGCAAAGATATTGTTCTTTTGGTGTTTGTCATTTGTAATGTGTTTGGATCTTTGAAATTTGAGATTTTTCCGTGAAATACTATATTGGCATGTTGGTGGTAGTTTATTTCAGCAGAGTTGAGGGGTAGGAGGATAAAGAGATAAAACATACTTTCATCTCTGACAAAAAGGCACAATGGAGGTGGGTCATTAATAAACCAGTAAAAAACTCGCAAACAGGACATGCATGTATGCTTTATTTACAAAAATGTCCAATATATCTCAAGATTATTTTGCTAAAGATTGCAATATATATTAGTTTTAAGGAAAGTTAAATATTATAAATTATTTTTTATCTAAGCAAGATCACTAAAATAGGACTCTGTTTACAGCTCTTATAATTACTATTGTTAGATTTTCTAAATATCAATAGTTGCTTATCAAAACTGGTAAAAAATGCAAGCAAATCTATGACTAAGCAATTAAATTTTATTGCGTGAAAGTAATATTTAATATAAGATTGAGATGATTTATCAAAATATTTCATTCTGTAAAGTCTTACCAAGTTCTTTAGAGTCCAGAATTTTCCTTTGTACAAATCATGAAACATTCCTTTTTGGAGGGCTATTAAGAGAAGACAACACGGGATTGGAAACAGTACAGAGAGATGCAAATAAAATCATCCAGTTTATATTGCCTCTGCACATTTATTACTGGATAATTCATCATCATTTCAAGCTCATTGTATGTCCAAAGCAAATTCATTATTTTTAACCTGTTGGATGTTCCTAATAACCACCTCTTATCTCCATTTCTAAGTCCAGTCCCTCATTCAACAACCATGAGGGCAGCAAGTTCTTCTTGGTCTAATTAACCACAAAAATCTGGCAGAACTAGACTTCTTTAAATCTTGCTTTCATCTCTATCCTTCTCAGGCAGTATAAACATTTGTAATAGCTCCTTGTTTAATCTCACATCAAGTCTTTTAAACTCTGGCCTTCCAGAGTTCTCATAATTGGGCCTTACCTTGCCTATGTAGCAATATTTGTCCCTCCCTCCCATTGAACCATCTCTGCTCTATAGGTCCCTTCCTTCACTGTTCTGCCTCTTGCCCCCCGTATTAGTCAGGGTGGGTTCTCTGAGGGACAGAACTAATAGGATAGATGTGTATATGAAGGGGAGCTTATTAAAGAGTATTGACTCACATGATCACAAGGTAAAGTGCCACAATAGGTCGTCTGCAAGCTGAGCAGCAAGGAAGCCAGTCCAAATCCCAAAACCTCAAAAGTAGGGAAGCCGACAGTGCAGCCTTCGGTCTGTGGTCAAAGGCCCAAGAGCCCCTGGCAAACCACTGGTGTAAGTCCAAGAGTCCAAAAGCTGAAGAACTGGGAGTCTGATGTTCGAGGGCAGAAAGCATCCACCACGGGAGAAAGATGAAGGTGGAAGACTCAGCAAGTTGGCTTCTCCCACCTTTTTCTGCCTGCTTTATTCAAGCCCCCCTGACAGTTGATTAGATGGTGCCCCCCACCCCACCCTACATTGAAGGTGGGTCTGCCTCTCCCAGTCCACTGACTCAAATGTTAATCTCCTTTGGCAGCACCCTCACAGACACACCCAGGAACAATACTTTGCATCCTTCAATCCAATCAAGTTCAAACTTAGTATTAACCCATCATTTAGCATTGGGTATATCTCCTAATGCTATCCCTCCCCGCTCCCCCCACCCCACAACAGTCCCCGGTGTGTGATGTTCCCTTCCTGTGTCCATGTGTTCTCATTGTTCAATTCCCACCTGTGAGTGAGAACATGCAGTGTTTGGTTTTTTGTCCTTGCAATAGTTTGCTGAGAATGATGGTTTCCAGCTTCATCCATGTCCCTACAAAGGACACGAACTCATCATTTTTTACGGCTGCATAGTATTCCATGGTGTATATATGCCACATTTTCTTAATCCAGTCCATCACTGTTGGACATTTGGGTTGGTTCCAAGTCTTTGCTATTGTGAATAGTGCCGCAATAAACATACCTAATGCTAAATGACGAGTTAATGGGTGCAGCACACCAACATGGCACATGTATACATATGTAACAAACCTGCACGTTGTGCACATGTACCCTAAAACTTAAAGTGTAATAATAATAAAAAAATAAATAAAATAAAATGAGAAAATAATAATAATAATAATAATAAAAGAAACAGTATTAACCGTCACACCACCTCTTGCCTCTGGCTTCTCCACCCAAGACCTAACCCCTGGAGTCCTGAAACATTTCCTGCTTTCAATTCCTGTAGTGCTCAGAGTTAGAACTTTTCAGTTTATTTCCCAATTATACACTGTTTCTGTGATTTTATACTTGTGAGTCACCTCTTCTATTACATTATAAGCTTCTTGAAGGTAGTTTAAATGTTTCATGGAAAGCCAGTCAGTTCACATAGGGTTCTAGTTACTTTTCACCATCTCTACCACCAATGCCTCCAAATCCCCCACTAGAACTGCTACAATACCCAAGGGACTGATCTCTCTCTGTCCACTGTTGTTCCACAATCTATTTGCCACCTGCAGCCAGTGATCTTTGGGAAATACAAATCTAATCCAGACATTCCCCTGCCTAAAACCTCATTGGATGCAGCTGTGTTCCAATAAAACTTTACTTACCAAAACTTGTGATGAGTCAGATTTGTTTGCTGACCTCTGATTTAGATTAGCTTAGATTAGCTAGAATTACAGAGGTAAGAGAAAATTGGTTTTTCCAATCACAGTGAAAACAAACCTACAATAAGAATTCTCACACCCTAGATGTTTACTAAGCCAATCTTCCTGTCAGTGATTGACTCAAGAATGAACTATGACTCACCTCTGGCCAGTATGGAGAGGAGGTATACTGAGGACATCTGGGAAAATTCCTCCCACTCTTAATAAGCAGCTGCTGGTCTGCCCCTGGCCACTGCCTGGAATGGCTGTGTGATATCTGAAATCACTACAGCCACCAGCCTGAGGATGAAGCTTAACTAAGGAAGGTAGAACCAAAAGATGGAAAGAGCCAAATCGACCAACCATGGATCATGCCCTGCCTTTGGACTTCCCGTGAAGGATCTCTTTTCTTACTGTGTAACCCCATCAGAAATGAGGTTTCTGTGAACTGAAGCTGAAAGTGTCCTAATTGATTCAATTTTATATCTCCCCAAATTTATTTTAGTTACAAATATACCAAACCACTGGTACCTCCATGTAGGGAATTTCTTGTTTCTTTTAAGAGACATCATCATGGTATTTTACCCTTCCCTGAAAAATCGTCAGGTGTTGAGGCTGCCATTTCAAATCAGGAAAAAGGGAATAGCATTGCCCAGTTATTTTTTAATATTCATGCTCTTACCCCAGAATAAATACCCTGGAAGCCCCAGCCCTGCATTTTTTTTTTTTTTTTTTTTTTTGAGACAGAGTCTCACTCTGTCGCCCAGGCTGGAGTGCAGTGGCGCGATTTCGGCTCACTGCAAGCTCCTCCTCCCAGGTTCACGCCGTTCTCCTGCCTCAGCCTCCCGAGTAGCTGAGACTACCGGCGCCCACCACGACGCCCGGCTGATTTTTTGTATTTTTTAGTAGAGACGGGGTTTCACCGGGTTAGCCAGGATGGTCTTAATCTCCTGACCTCGTGATCCGCCCCCCTCGGCTCCCCAAAGTGCTGGGATTACAGGTGTGAGTCACTGCTCCCGGCCGCCCCAGCCCTGCTTTTGGAACCAATTCTTTTTAGGCTCTTCCTCTGACTCAACATAGCAGACATTAGTGACCACCTATCCTGCAGCCATTCTGTCCACTCGTCTTTCCTGCAATCAGAACCTTGATTTTGTTCAGCTATCAGGATACTGCATACTTTAGAAAAGACTGAACCTTCCCCTAGCTCTAGGGAGGATAATCTTCATTAATCTAAGTCCAACATAGAAATTCTATTTTCCCTACCAGTGAATGATTTAAGAATGGGCATGTCTAGAATTCTGAACAGTGACTAGGGGAGAGTTTTTCTGTCTTAAAAGGGGATACAAGAGAGATTTTTTCTGTTGTAAAGTACTTGAAGCTGCTGCAGCCATCCTGCAAGCCAGAGTCAAAAGCTAACATGATGAGCAAAGCACAGCAGAAGAATGAAGAGAACCTGGGTCCTAAATGATGGGCAGGTGCCAATGACTTAACTAAGCCCAGAATCATGTTACCTTAGGCTTTTTATGCTATCTTTCTACGCCAACTGAGTTCAATGTTCTGTTCAATGCCACTGGAACCCTACCAACTGGAACATTCACTGATAAGTTGCTGTGGGCAAATTGCATCTGGGTTCCTCACTTGTCTATACAGGTTAAGAAGAAACAGGCGTGTTGGCGGGCGCCTGTAGTCCCAGATACTCGGGAGGCTGAGGCAGGAGAAAGGCGTGAACCCGGGAGGAGGAGCTTGCCGTGAGCCGAAATCGCGCCACTGCACTCCAGCCTGGGCGACAGAGCGAGACTCAGTCTCAAAAAAAAAAAAAAAGAAAAGAAAAAGGAAAAGAAACAGCATGATGTTTCTGCTGCACTGATCTCTCTCTGAGGTAGTATATATAGACTGTGTACTGGTAAATTATTTTATGGACTCTATGAAGACTGCATGGATATCGTCTTAAAATATTAGGCAAGCCTAATGAATAAGTCAGAATGTTTTATACACCTCAGGCAAATTAGAATTTGCCTATACTTTATATTACAGTCTACTAAATCAATCACTTTAAAATTGGCACCAGGGATTGTAGTAAGATCATCAGACCTTCTAATAAATTTAGAAAAATTATCACAAGATAATTTTGAGTTTTTGTTATCAGATTTTCAGGCAGTTTGTTGTTATTTAATTTAGGATTCTTTAATTATCAAAGCAAAACATGAGAACCAGTTTTACAGAAAACAATTTTGCCCTTATCACTTCATCTTCACATGTGGAAAATATTCAAAGTTTGTTTAAAAACCTCTGATGCAGCCAGGTGTGGTGGCTTACACCTGTAACCCCAGCACTTTGGGAGGCCAAGGTGGGCAGATCACTTGAGGTCAGGAATTCAAGACCAGCCTGGCCAATATGGTGAAACATTGTCTCTACTAAAAAAATTACCTGGGCATGGTGGCGCATGCCTGTAATCCCAGCTGAGGCAGGGAAATCACTTGAACCCAGGAGGTGGAGGTTGCAGTGAGCTGAGATTGTGCCACTGCACTCCAGCCTGGGTGACAGAGAGAGACTCCATCTCAAAAAAAAAACCCAAAAAAACAAAAAAACCTCTGATGCTCAGACAAATAACTAATGCATGCGGGGCTTAAAACCTGGGTGATAGGTTGATAGGTGCCGCAAACCACCACGGCACATGTATACCTATGTAACAAACCTGTACGTTCTGCACATGTATTCTAGAACTTAAACTAAAAAAAACAAAAACAAAAACAAAACAAACACACACACACACGCACACAAAAACCTTGGATGCTCTGTTTTTTTCCCTCTTGTATCATTAAAAATAAAATTCTTGTTTTTATTCTCTTTTGTTTGGACACATTTTAGAGCCTTCCAAATGTGGTGATTATAACTTTTTATTGAATTACTACAAAGAATGATAATAATAATTATTATCACATTAGTATAAAGAATACAGAAAATCTTTGTCTCTATAATATCCCAAGGAATGACAAATTGTCAACATTTCTTTTAGTGGTAATTCATGGAAAATTAAAGAAAATATGGTATATTTTTATATTTATTTAGTTTAGTTTTTAAGTGAAACATTCTGCAGAATGGCACAAAAAATTGTGAACTTTTAGAGTTAAAAAGAATAATTCATTCTTACCAAGATTATGTAAAAGTATCAATTCTCTTGCCCTATATTTTTTTAAGGAAAGCTTCTTCTGGAAAGGATTAGCAGAATAATGAAAGAGAGGACTTAGGTATAATCTTCCTAATGAAGTCAATATTCACCTCCAAATACAAGTAATGTTTATACTAATTTTCTTTTTGAAGTTTGTGTCAGTATTACATGGGAGAGGAAGATGAACTCATATAGACTTTTGACTCTTCCATTAGTCCACATCCATTATGCATCGTATTCTCTTGTCTATTGTGTTCAAAAAATTTAAATGAAAATTTTAAATAGAGAAGGGAGGAAGTGACTAGGCTTTCTCTAATATCCCTGTCATGAATATGTCACTCACCTCAAAATATGTCACTGAAAGTACTACAAAATTGCCATAATAAGCTAGTTACTGCTTTTCTTATCTCCAAGTTCCTTGCCCATTCAAAGCTCTACAGGAAAAAAAAGTACTCCTCAATAATACATTCACCATTCACTATGAATAATACACAGTGAACATTTATGTAATGTAGGTTTTAAAAACTCTCACATATATTATTTCTTTGATTCTACCAATAATTCTGTGAAGAACATAAAACACTTAAAACATAAAAGAGGATTCCTAGCAATTACTAGCAATTAAGACGGCACTATCAAAGGTCATCTGACCCTCCCTCCTGACTTGCTGTCTATGATACAGAGAACATAAATATCAGTCATGTTCAGAAATCAACATAAGAATGTGAAAAATTCTTACAATGAAGGAAAGTTGCTGGGGTCTGAAGTGGAGGAACAGCATCCAAGAATGTGGCCTGGAACAGGAGGGCACCAGGGATCACAGATGAAGGACGGATCATTTTCTTTCCCCCACTACTGCAGGACAAGATATCAGCAGTGCCAAACCAAACAAGAGTATAAGATCAGGACAGGAATCTGGCTGGAGAAATCCATTGTCCAGGCTGGCAAAATGAATAATTTATTAAAATGTATTAAAATCTAAATAAACAAGGGCCCAAAAACAGTAATAACAAAATTAAAGTATAATCTAGTACTAAAACTCCAAATGGTATCAACAGCAATATAGAGATGGTACAATGGGAATTAAGAAATTCTTCCTAAAATTCTTAACTATTTGGGGATAGGTGGGTCAGATTCAGAGATTAATAACATTTAAACAGGTTGAGAAATAAACATAACTACTAGTCTTATAAGTTAGCGCTAACCACTAGACATTTTAAAAATAGAATTTACAACTCTAAAAGTACTAGAAATGAATTTAGGCTGGGTATGATGGTGCATGCCTGTAATCCCAGCACTTTGGGAGACCAAGGAGGGAGGATCGCTTGAGCCCAGGAGTTTGAAACCAGCCTGGGCAATAAAGTGAGAAATTATCTCCACACACACACAAAAAAAAGAAAAAAAACTTAAAAACACCTGCAGTCTCAGCTACTTGGGAGGCTGAGGTGAGAGAATTGCTTGAGCTTGGGAGGTGAAGGTTGCAGCAAACCAAGATTGTGCCACTGCCCTCCAGCCTGAGTGACAGAATGAGCTCTTCTCTCAAAAAGAAAAAAATTTAAACTATCCAGTGGAAGTTCAGAGAATGCAAAAAGAAACAAAACAAAGCATGGTAAAAAGAAAGCAAAGAATAGAGATACATAAATAAGTCCCAGTATTACAGTGGTTACAATAAATATAAATGGGTGAAACTCATTAATCAAAAGTAGAGATTCTCAGATTAATAGCAAAACAAGCTTCAGCAATATATAATTTATAAGAAACATTAAGAAAGGGATATAAAGAGTAGCTGAAAATAGAGAATAGAAAAAAATGTAACAGGAAAACGTGAAACAAAAGAAATCTGAGGCATCAATCTTATCACACAAAAGAAAATGTTAAGGGCAAACAAGATAGTTATATACTGGTTAAAGAAATAAGAGATCAAGAAAGCATAATTAATACATACAGTTCTTTTTTTAATTGAAGTGAAATTCATACACATACTTTTAAAGTTTTTAAGCATTCACAAAATTTAACCATATACCAGCCTACAAGAGACATGAATAAATTTGAAACATTTAACATAACAGCAAATTTGTTTTCTGCCTTCAGTGCAATGAATTTAGAAGTCAGTAGCAAAAGGGTCATTTAAAATTTTCATGTTTCCTAATTTAAAAAATTTCCCATATAACCCTTAGTTTATTTTCCTTTTCTTTCTTTCTTTTTTTTTTTAATTTTTTATTTTTTAGACGGAGTCTCGCTCTGTTGCCCAGGCCAGAGTGCAGTGGCGTGATCTTGGCTCACTGCAACCTCTGCCTTCCGGGTTCAAGTGATTCTCCTGCCTCAGCCTCCTGAGTGTCTGGGACTACAGGTACACACCACCATACGCAGCTAATTTCTTGTATTTTTAGTAGAGACGGGATTTCACCATATTGGCCAGGCTAGTCTCGAACTCCTGACCTCGTGATCCGCTCGTCTCGGCCTCCCAAAGTGCTGGGATTACAGGCGTGAGCCACCGTGCCTTGTCAATCCTTAGTTTCAAGAGTAAATAACAAGTTAGGTTATATAAAATTTAGGACTCATTGAAAATACAAGTATTATATGTCAAAAATGTATGATAAACAGAATAATACTTAGAGAAAATTACAGACTTAAATTGGTCTACCAAAAAAAGTAATATTTAAAACAAATGACTGGTGGGCATGTTGGCTCATGCCTGTAATCCCTACACTTTAGGAGGCTGAGGTGGGAGGATTGCTTAAAGCCAGGAGTTCGAGACAAATCTGGGCAACGAAATGAGACCCTGTTTCTAGAAAAAAAAAAAAGTGTTGAACGTAGAGGCATGCACTTGCAGCCCAGGTGTGGTGGCAGGTGGCTGTAGTCCCACTTACTCGGGAGGCTGAGGCAGGAGAATCACTTGAACCCGGAAGGCGGAGGTTACAGTGATTCGAGATCGTGCCACTGCACTCCAGCATGGGTGACAGAGTGAGACTCCATCTCAAAAAAAAAAAAACAGGGACAATTTGTTTATGCAGGGTAAAAGATAGGAATATGATAAACCTGTGACAAAAAGAAAGAGTAAAATGAGAGAAGATGCGAATAAATGAGTAAAACAAAGTTATCTGAATCTCAAATGTTTACTTAATGATAAAAATTAATGTCTAAATACTGCAGGATCTGATTATGTGTTGAGTGGATACAATAAGCTTTGTATGGGAGGGCTTTTCACAAACATCTCTAAATCTAGCCATCGCTTCCAAGATTATGTTTTAAATTGTCAATATAAACTATGATCTTATTGTTATTAAGAAAAAATCTAGTCCTTTAGTGCAAATAAATAATTAAAGTAAATAAATCTTAATTTTATATATAAAAAAGAAAAAGGGCAGTCATTAAAATCAGAAACTTCCCAAAGAACAACATGTTATGTATAGAAAGAAATCCTTAAATTACTCCCTTAGGCAAGTGGAAATGATGGACAAAAGCCCACTGCTAGTGAATAGAGTCATCTGAGTAAAAAATAGCTACAGCCACATAGAACCTCAGAGCTAAGGATGCTAAACATCTTGCAATGCAAAGGACAGCCCAAGGCTGGAAGCGGTGGTTCACACCTGTAATCCCAGCACTCATGGGAGGCCAAGGCGGGCAGATTGCTTGAGGTCAGGAGTTTGAGAAGGACAGCCCTACGTGACCAGGAATAGCTTGTCCAAAAGGCCAATAGGTCGCCATTGAGGACAAATTATTGACTTACCCAGGATTCCCCCTGTTTGGTTTCTGGTCCATATTTTTTTCCAGCACTACTGTCTTCATGAAGAAATATTATTTTATAGAAAAAAGCTCCTAACATAACCTGATGGGCAGTGTGGGGTTGGAGGAGGATACAAATATTTCTGGAGGTAGCTTACTGAGTGAGGAAAGAGTATTGAAAATTTACAAGTCAATAATATAACAGGAAATAAAACATTATCTATTTATTTTCATACTTGCTCTTGTATCAGGCCACAGCAAGTAGCTTTGCATGTGTAGGCCGATTATGTTAAAAATGATACTAAATTTTTGAAAACTATTTTTATTTTCATAGGTTTTGGGGTAACAGGTGGTATTTGGTTCCATGAGTAAGTTCTTTAGTAGTGACTTTTGAGATTTTGGTGCACCCATCACCTGAGCAGTATACACTGAACTCAATTTGTAGTCTTTTACCCCTCACCCCCTTCCCATCCTTTCCCCTCCCCGAGTCCCCAAAGTCCATTGTAAAAAATGATAGTTAATTTTAAGAAAATTCTGTCAGTAATGTTTAGGTCTCATTTCCCCCTCACCCTTTCTAATCCCTTTGCAGGCTTTTGTGATGCAGAAACAGAGTCAAGTTCAGAAAGAAATATAATTGGAAATGAGTATGTGGTCAAATTCTCCTCAATAGAGAGAAGAAAAAACAGAGATTGGAAGAAAAGGGTGAGCAAGGAGGAAAATAAGTTCAGGTTTTCAAGGAAGTTTTGTTTTGGGAATGGGAGCAACACTTTGGGAGAGATATGGAATGAGAGACAGAGCAAAGGAACCAGAAAAAAATTTTAAGAGATGTTGTGGGTTCGGCATTCATTCCCACATCATAGTCTAAGAGACATGAGTATGAAGATTGAAATCACTTTTGTTTACTTTCAGATATTAGATTGTATTCATCTGAATATCACATGGAGACTGAGACCAGGCCACAAGGCCCTGATATAAATTTGGTGACATATGTTAACTCAGTTAACTCTTTTAATGCTAGAAGTAGATAATATTCTCATTTTATAAGGGAAGAAATGGAGGCTCAGAGATGTTTTCCCCAAATTACTCAGATTTTAAGCAGTGAAATGGGTTTCTAACACAGATCTGATGCCAAATTTATGCTAATATGTTACACTAAACTGTCTTTTTTCTTTTGTCTTCTTTTTTTCTCTTTTCTTTTTTTTAAACTTTTATTTTAGGTTCAGGGGTACATGTGCAGGTTTGTTACATAGATAAACTTGTGTCATGGGGGTTTGTTATACAGATTATTTCATCACCCAGGTACTAAGCCTAGTATCTAATAGTCATTTTTTCTGCTCCTCTCTCTCCTCCCACCCTCTACCCTTGAGTAGGCCTCCATGTCTGTGGTTCCCTTCTTTATGTCCATGAGTTCTCATCATTTAGCTCCCACATATAAGTGAGAACATGCGAAGAGAGAATATTAAGGGACTTCGGTTTTGATTTAGGGGCGCAAGTGTCTCAGAAGCAGATTATGTTTGTATTCGTGTGAGTAGAGCTTAGGCTAACACTGTGGTTTTTTATTTTTTTCCCCCAGAATTACATAGAAACGCTCATCTCACCTAACCCCTTTTTCGGTTTGGACATATTCCATCCCAGTAGTAGTTTAACACTTGAGACAAACCTAAGGCCAAGACTTTTCACTGACTATAATAATTCTGTGACCTCAGTTTCTTATCTCTGTCCCCATGTCACAGGGCCACACAAGGTGTTTTGGGAATTGAGGGAGCATGCCAACAACTAACTATAGCAGAGAAAGAGTTCAATAGACGGCTCCTCCTCCTCTTCCACATGATTTTTTTTTTTTAAACAGAGTTTTGCTCTTGTTGCCCAGGCTAGAGTGCAATGGCACGATCTCAGCTCACTGAAGCCTCTGCCTCCCAGGTTCAAGCGATTCTCCTGCCTCAGCCTCCCAAGTAGCTGGGATTACAGGCATTCGCCACCACATCCTATTTTTAGGAAAGATGGGTTTTCACCATGTTAGCCAGGCTGGTCTCGAACTGCTGACCTCAGGTTATCCACCCGCCTCCGCCTCCCAAAGTGCTGGGATTACAGGGGTAAGCCACCATGCCCTGCCCACATGATTATTATTAACTCCCTGGAGTTAAAGTTGCCCCCAACCAGAAGTCTGCCCAAGTGTAAACAGCACCGCGCCCAGGTCACTCTCCAACTTTCCACTCATGTGATGAGCTTCCTGGAGCTTGGGGGAAAGAGGAGGACTCCTCTCCACCCTTCAGCCTGTACCATGGACTGTGTTGTATATCCTCCTGATCTTCATCCATTGCCTGTGCCCCTCCAGGAGGGAGAGGATTGGGAGACAAAAGGGGATGGGTTGCAGGCAGGCAGGCAGTGTGGCAAGTTTGTAGGGAAGGGAACGTGTGCAAAAAGGGGAAGCAGGCGTTGCAGAAGCAGAATGCTCATCTTCCCAATGTATCCTAAGGATGCGTTCATCTCACTTCACAGGGCAGTTAGGAGCAAGTGAGTTTCACAAGTTGAACCAAATTCTTAATGCAGAAAGGAAGCTTACTTTTAAAGAAAGACTGCTATTCATTTCTTTCTAAAATGCTCTTTTGTAATCTCTTAAATTTATCTGTTTTATTAAACTTGAGGGTTTTATACATTGATTTTTCTCAAAACAGGACGTACTTGAGCCCTGTTTTATACTTATCTATTTTAACTAGGTCATTTCCAATTTTGACGTCAATATGACTTTCTGGGAGATTTTAAGAATAAAGAGAAATCTGAAATCAAAATCAGCATGAAAGCAATTAAAATGAGGCTGTAAAACCTCTGTACCAGAGGTTTTCTTCGTCTTCTTTTCTTTTCTTTCCTTTTTTTTTTTTTTTTTTGAGACGGAGTCTTGCTCTGTCACCCAGGCTGGAGTGCAGTGGCGCGATCTCGGCTCACTGCAAGCTCCGCCTCCCTCTTTTTTTTTTTTTTTAAGCATATTGAATGCTTAGAACTTGCCAGGCCGTATCTCAGCACGTCACTCATATTAATCATTTCCTAATAACCGCTACAAGTTGGGTTTTGTTATTATCCCCATTTGAATAAATAAGGCACGGAGACACAGAGAGGATATGACATAACTACCAGAAGCCATTGGTGGCAAGATCTCAATCAGGACATGTCGGTACAATGCTCTGATTATCTCGTCTGCATCCCTGATTACTTATGGTCCAGATATAAACTACTCCTCTTCACTTTCATTTTAACCAGAATTTGAAGTCATTTTATTCTCTCTCAAGTACTTTGGGCTTTGAGGAAAATAAGGGAAACTCGCCACCTGGTGGCAGCTCATAGTGTGTGGTAACAAGGTGGCTGCCCCCTGTCTGGTTTCAAGGAGAGAGGAGAGAATGTCCCTGCCTTGCTATTCACGCCTCTCAAACAGCTGAGCTGACCTCTCCTCAAGGGCCATTGTCTTTAGAAATCCCTCGCCCTGTCTAGGTCCATTCTGATAAAAATTGGAGTAGCAGTTTTTTCTCTATGCTTCAAGTGAGGAGGTTGGATGGGACAGAGTCCAGCGATGAGAGGCCAAGACTCTCTTGACCTTATTTCATTGTCAAAAAGATCAGTATTCATGTTCTACAAGAAGGAATCCACAGTTGTCCAGAAAACTGTCCTTCAAAAATAGCCAGTCCACAGCTGCTTCCCGTATCTTAGGCTTTAGTTTCTGAAGCAGAGGAAGTAACATGCAGGCATCATCCCTTGTTAAAACAATTCATAGAATTAAAATGTTGCAGGTGAATTGAATTTTTGAACATTTAATCAGAATGATCACTTGGGTATCTTGTTTTCTTAAATACTTAATTCGCACACCACAGGGTTTGAAATGTAGGTTTTTCAAGTCTACATAGGTTCTATTCGTGATTTTCAGTTGCCTGTCAGTGAACAGGTGCCAAGTTAGCTGTATCAGAATCACTTGTGGAAATTAAAACGTAAACAAACACAGGAAGATTCCAATTCAGTAGGTCTCTGAGGAAGACTGAGCATCAGCATTTTTAAATGCTCACCAGGAGGTACTGAGAAGCAGTGTGCTTAGGAAGCCACTGTACCTGCACCACCTTTGCTGACCAGAATGGAAGCAGCAGGTAAAGAATGTTGGTGGTTAACACAAAAATTAGATACTGTTTTCACTCATCAGGCTGGCAAACAGGAACACAAATAGTAATATTTCACTCTGGTGATGATGTGGGGACCAGAGCATTCTCATTTTCTGTTGCTAGGTGTGTAATGTGCTACAAAAGATTAAGGAAGTAATCAGGGAGTTATTTATTTATTTTCATTTTTTTGTAGAGATGGGGTTTCCCTGTGTTGCCCACGCTGGTCTCAAACTCCTGGCCTCAAGTGATCCACCTGCCTCAGCCTCCCAAAATGCTTGGATTACAGATATGTGCTGTCTCAGCCAGGCCAGACAGGTATTTTTAACATCTAAAATGTTAAATTGGCCCAGAAATCCCAATTTGGAATCCAGAATGTTGAGATCAATGACAAAAATGTTTATTGTAGCATTATTTGTAGTGACAAATAATTGGGAACAATCAAATCTTGGAATAAATTATAATCTATTCATTCAATGAGTTATTATGCAGTATTTTAAAAGAACCAATTAAATCTGTATACTTTGATCTGGAAAGGAGTCTATGTACTATTAAAGGAATGAGTTGCTGAGTTTTATACACAACTGCATATGCATATACCTATATATGTATGTATATATATTTCCATTTGTAAAACAAAAAATTAATTAAGCTAGAATATTGGGAACAGGGAGAAACATATGAAAGGACACAGAGTTTTTTGGTTTTTTGGTTTTTTTTTAGATGGAGTCTCACTGGAGATTGTACTGCAACCTCTGCCTCCTGGGTTCAAGTGATTCTCCTGCCTCCGCTACCCAAGTAGCTGGGATTACAGGTGCATTGCCACCATGCCTGTCTAATTTTTCTATTTTTGAAAGAGATGGGGTTTCACCATGTTGGCCAGGCTGGTCTTGGACTCCTGACCTCAAGTGATCCACCTGCCTCAGCCTCCCAAAGTGCTGGGATTACAGACATGAGCCACTGCACCCAGCCAGGACACAGAGTTTTAATATTGGATCCTTCATGATGGGAAGGGAGTGGGGGGATTACAGATTTTTAACATTTTTCTTCATACATTTCTACATTTCACTCATAATAAAAAACATACCTTTCATGTGCAATTTATAAGATCCAATAAAGTTTTTAAAAATGTTGGTTGGACCAAAGAGTAGTGCATTACCCCCCCAAATCCCTGGTTTGGCATGCTTACCAACACTATTCAGGTAAGATTTAAACTGCAAAATTATAATGTATGTGTAAGGTGTAAAAAAAGATACTACAGAGAACCAGCCCTATGAACCCACATAAAATTAATGAATCCAACCCAATAGTCCCATGAACAGTTTTTGGGTTTTTTTTTTCTTTGGATAAACGTAGAAATAGACTTTTCTGATCTTACAGTGTGAAACTTACCTTTGTTTTATCTGAGTTCCTTCCTCGGGAAAGGACCCCCAGGCCTCTCAAACAGTATCAAAGAACTGAGACTCACCACATCATGGCATCAGGACAATGAGACTCCAGGCCCCTCATTCATTATGATTGCTTTCTTACCCCTTTCCAGTTCCTGCTTTCTCACACATAGTTACATTTCTTCCCTGCTATATAAACCCCTAATTTTAGTCACTCAGGGAGATGGATTTGAGACTGATCCCCAATGTCCTCAGCTGTAGCACCTGATTAAAGTTTTCTTTCTTGGCAATAATTGTCTCAGTGATTGGCTTTCTGTGCGGCCAGCAGCAGGACCTACACTGAATCCCTGGTGCTTCAGTAACATTAAGAAACAGAACTTTATCGTATCTTTTTGTTTCTTATTTGATTTACCTTTTATTTTTTAAAATTCTTTTATTTTTAATTATTATGGATACAAAATATTTGCACATACTTATGGGGTACATGTGATGTACTGATGCAAACATACAATGTGTAATGATCAAATAAGGGTAATTAGGATATCCATCACCCCAAACATTTATTATTTCTTTGTGTTAGGAACACTCCAAAAGCACCATTTTAGTTCTTTTGAAAAATACAACAAATTATTGTTAACAATAGTATCCCTATTATGCTATCAAACACTAGATCTTACTCAGGGGGAGTAACTCTACTTTTGTACCCATTAACTATCCCCTCTTTATCCCTTGCTCCCCGCTACTCTTCCCAGCCTCTGGTAACCATCATTCTACTCTCTCTTGTCTCCATGAGGTCAATTTTTTCTTTTAATTCCCATACATAAATGAGAACATATAATATTTGTCTTTCTGTGCCTGGCTTATTTCACTTAAAAAAAATGTCCTCCAGTTCCATCCATGTTGCTGCAAATAACAGAATTTCATACTTTTTTTTTATGGCTGCATAATGGTCCATTGTGTATATGTCCCCCATTTTCTTTATCCATTCATCCATTGCTGGGCACCTTGGTTGATTCCATATCTTAGCTATTGTGAATAGTACTGCAATAAACGTGGGAATGCCAATATTACTTACCTATTTCCTTTCTTTTGGATATTTACCAGCAGTAGGATTTCTGAATCTATTTCTACTTTTTTTAGAATTCTCCACATTGTTCTCCATAGTGGTCGTGTTAATTTACATTCCCACCAACACTATAGGAAAGTTCCTTTTTTCCATATCCTCGCCAGCATCAGTTACTGCCTGTCTTTTTGATACAAGCCATTTTAGCTGGGGTAAGATGATTTCTCATTGTGATTTTGATTTGCATTTCTTTGATGATTAGTAATGTTGAGCATTTTCTTTATATATTTGTTTGTCTTTTGTATGTCTTTCTTTGAGAAATGTCTATTCTGATCCTTTGCCCATTTTAAAATTGCATTATTTGTTTTTTGCTACTGAATGTTTGAGTTCCTTACATATTTTTGTTATTAATCTCTTGTCAGATAGGTAGTTTGCAAATATTTTCTCCCATTCTATAGGTTGTCTCTTTACTTTGTTGATTGTTTCCTTTGCTGTGCAGAAGCTTTTTAACTTGGTATCATCTCATTTGTCCATTTTTACTTTGGTTGCTCGTGCTTTTGAGGTCTTAGCCAAGAAATCTTTGCCCAGACCAATTTTGCGCAGTGCTTTCCCAGTGTTTTCTTTCAGTTGTTTCATAGCTTCAAGTCCTAGATTTAAGTCTTTATTTTGTTTTAATTTTTGAATTTGACAGTAGGAGTCTAGTTTCATTCTTCTGCATAGGGGTATCTAGTTTTTCCACTATCATTTCTTCTTTTTTCTTTCTTAAAAATTTTTTTTGGAAGTGGGGTCTCATATTGCTCAAGCTGATCTCTAACTCCTGGGCTCAAGTGATCTTCCAGCCTCAGCCTCCTGAGTAGCTGAGATTACACGCCCAGCACCATTTATTGAGTAGACTGTCCTTTCTTCAATATATGCTCATGGCACCTTTGCCAAAAATGAGCTGACTGATAATGTGATAATGCATGCATTTATTTCTGGGTTCTCTATTCTGTTTCATTGGCCCATGCATCTGTTTTTCATGTCAGTACCATGCTTTATTGATTATATAGTTTGTAGTATAATTTGAAGTTAGGAAATGTGATGCTTTCAGCTTTGCTCTCTTTGCTCGGGATTGCTTTTACAATTTTTTTTTTGTGGCTCCTTATGTATTTTGAGACAGGGTCTCCTTCTGTCACCCAGGCTGGAGCGCAGTGGCATGATCTCAGCTCACTGCAACCTCCGCCTCCTGGGTTAAAGCGATTCTCTCATCTCAGCCTTCCAAGTAGCTGGGATTACAGGTGCACACCACGACGCCCAGCTAATTTTTGTATTTTTTGGTACAGACGGGGTTTCACCATGTTGGCCAGGCTGGATTTGATCTCCCGACCTCAAGTGATCTGCCCACCTTGGCCTCCCAAATTGCTGGGATTACAGGAGTGAGCCACCACACCCAGCCATGGCTCCATATAAATTTTAGGATTATTTTTTCTATTTCTGTGAAGAATGCCATTGATATTTTGATAACGATTGCATTCAATTTGAAGACTGCTTTGGGTATGGACACTTTAACAATATTGATTCTTCCAATCCACGAACATGGTATACCTTTCCAGTTTTTGGGTCCTCTTCAATTTCTTTCATCAATAATTTACAGATTTCACTGTAGAGATCTTTCACTTCTTTTGTTAAGTTTATTCACAGGTATTTTATTTTATTTGTAGTGATTGTTAGTGGGATTGCTTTCTTGGTTTCTTTTTCAGATTGTTTGCTGTTGGCATACAGAAATGCTACCGATTTTTGTATCCTGCAACTTTACTGACTTTATCAATTCTAATACTTTTTTTTGCTGGAGTCTAGGTTTTTCTAAACATAAGATCATATTGTCTGCAAACAAAGATTACTTGACTTCTTCCTTTCCAATTTGAAAGTCCTTTATTTATTTCTCTTGTCTTACGGTTCTGACTAGGACTTCTAGTACTATGTTGAATAAAAGTGATGAAAATGGACATCCTTGTATTATTCTAGATCTTAGAGGAAAGGCTTTCAGTTTTCCCCATTCTACATGATGCTAGCTGTGGATTTGTCATATATAGCTTTTATCATGTTGAAGTATGTTCTTTTTACACCCAATTTGTTGAAGAAGCACCTTTGATGCTCTCATGAGATTGCCAAGACTCACATTCCTTCCCTTTACTCTGGATTACCTGTTAATTTTACTGGTGACTTTCCTTATAGATTCATTATATATATACATAATGTGTGTGTGTGTCTGTGTGTGTACACAATGATTAATTTTTGTGTGTTTATGTATGTGTGTGTACATATATATATCTAAACAATATATTCATAATTTTTAAATATTTATGGACTTCACATAAGTTAAGCCATTTTTATACATATTATTCTGAAACTGTACTCCACCTTATGATCATGGTATTCATTCATATTGATGATTGTAGCTGTAGTTTCATTTTTTTTGCTTTATAATACTCCAGATTTTGTCATTTTACTATTAATAGTCATTAAATTTGCTTTTTACTTTATTTTTATTTTTAATCTTTTGTTAGAGACAAGGTTGGCTGGGCGTGGTGCCTCACACCTGTAATCCCAGCACTTTGGAGGGCCGAGGCGGGTGGATCACGAGGTCAAGAGATCGAGACCATCCTGGCCAACATGGTGAAACCCCATCTCTACTAAAAATACAAAAATTCGCCAGGCACAGTGGCAGGTGCCTGTAATCCCAGCTACTCAGGAGGCTGAGGCAGGAGAATCACTTGAACCCGGGAGGCAGAGGTTGCAGTGAGCCAAGATCACGCCACTGCACTCCAACCTGGTGACAGAGGGAGACTCCATGTCAAAAAAAAAAAAAAAAAAAGAGACAAGTTCTTTCTGTGTTGCCCAGGCTGGAGTGTGCAGTGGCTATTCACAGTTGTTGAACTCCTGGCCTTAAGTCATCCCCCGATTTTAACCTCTTGAATAGCTGGGACTACAGATGCACACCACCATGCCCTGTTTTCATTTTCTTTTTCTAACATCATTGCACATTCTTGCTCATGATTTCTATTACACATGTGCAAGGTTTTCTGTAGGGGATATATATAGGAGAGGGATCACTGGGTTTTGGACATGTAAATAATCCACTTTATTAAGCAATGCCAAATGGTTTTCCAAAGTGATGCACAAATTTACTCTCTCATCTGTAGTGTATAAACGAATCGATGCTCCATACCCTCACATACACTTGAGTATAGGACCTTTAAATATTATATTAATTTATTCATTCATTCAACAAAGTCAGGCACTATTCTATGTACGGAGGATGTAGCAGTAAATAAAATATACAAAAGTCATTGTCCTCATGGAGATTTATAAGGGGGGAGAAAGAATATAAATAAATAAAATACATAGTATGTTAGAGAGTGATATATAAAGAAGAAAGCAAGAAATGAGAGAATGTATCTCTGTGTTGAGGAGGGTTTGCAGTTATGTATAGGCTGGACAGGGAGGGGTTTGTTGACAAGGTGATTTTGAGCAAAGACCTAAAGGACTTGATGAAATGAGCTATGCAGACATCTGGAGGAAGAGCTTCCCAGGCAGGGAGAATGGCAAGTTAAGAAACCTGAAAGGAGAATGTTTTGCTTGTTGGCAAAAGAGTACAAAATTCAAAGTTGCTGGAGGGGCATTAGGGAAGGGGAAGTTTTATAGGAAGAAGTCAGAGAAGAAATGACAGCATACCATGTAGGTGCTTGTAAGTCAAAGTAAGGATTTTCACCTTGTAGGTGACATAGGGATCCATTAAAGGGTTTTGAGCAGAGGATTGATATGATTGGGGTTTTAACAGAAGCCATTTGACTGACATGTGACTGGACAGGGCAAAAGCAATGAGAGCAGGTGAAGAGTATTGCAATAATCCACGTGAGAGATGGTGATGGCTCTGACTCGGATGATGGCAGTGGAAATGGTGAGAAACAGTCTAAATCTGGGAATATTTTGAAGTTAGGGATAAGAAGATCTGCAAATAGATCACATTTGGAATATGAGATAAAGAAGGAAGTCAAGGGTAATGTTAAGATTTTGCCAAATTAATTAGAAGGATGGGATTGTCATGAAAGGAGATGGAGAGACTGGAGCAGATTTCAAAGGCAATACCTAGGGCTCATTTTTAAAAAATGTATTGAGAACCCTGTAGAAATACCAGTGCAGATGTGGAGCAGGCAGTAGGATGACCCTAGAGTTCAGCTGTCTGGGCTAGAGATATCCAATTGGAATTCATCAGCATAGAGATGGTATGAAAGCCATGAAGCTGAATGAAATGACTTAGGGAATGAAAGCAGATAAGACAACAGAAGAGGTCCAAGACCAGAGCTCTAGGTCACTCTGCTTTATAGTCACATGAGAAGAAACCACCAAAGGAGACTGAGGAGGCTTGTGCAGAGAAAGAGGAGGGAAATCAGGAGACTGCGTCTAGGAAACAGGAGAAGTTGTTTTATAGAGGGAGTAACCAACAGGGTCAAATGTTGCTGACAAGGGAGACCTAAGAATTGATTACGGTGTTTAACAATGCAGAGGTCATTGGTCACACTACTCTTTGTCAGTGAAATATGTTCCAAATATATCCTTCCAATTTGTATTTTGTCTTCTCATTTTCTTTGTAACTTTAGATGAACCAAATTTCTTAATTGTAATGGCATTGGACTTATTTTTAATAATTCAACTCCATTCAACTCCATTGAATGGAGTTGGCACCCTTGTCGAAAATCAATTGGCTTTATATTTATGGATTTATTTCTTCTCAGTTCTATTTCATGGGTGTATCTTTATGCCAGTACCACACGATTTTTGACTACTGTAACTTTGTAGTAAGTCCTGAAATCAGGAAGAGTAAGTCCTCCAAATTTGTTCTTTTTTAAAATCATGTTGGCTATTTGGGGGTCCTTGCAATTCCATATGAATTTGAGCATCATGTTTTTCATTTCTGCAAAATAGGCTGTTGGAATTTTAATGGAGATTACACCGAATCTGTAGATCTTTGAGTAGTATTGCCACCTTCACAATAGTAAGTCTTCCAATCCATGGACATGAATGTCTTTCCATTTTTTAGATCTTTAATTTCTCTCAAAAATATTTCATAGTTTTTAGTCTAAAAATTCTTCCCTTTTTAAATGTTTTCCTAGTTTTTTGTTTGTTTGTTTGTTTGTTTTTAACGGAGTCTCACTCTGTCACCCAGGCTGGAGGGCAATGATACAATCTTGGCTCACTGCAACCTCTGTTTCCTGGGTTCAAGTGATTGTCCTGCCTCAGCCTCCCAAGTAGCTGGGACTACAGGCATGCACCACCACACCTGGCTAATTTTTGTATTTTTAGTAGAGATGGGGTTTCACCATGCTGGCCAGGCTGGTCTCGAAATCCTGACCTTGTGATCCGCCCGCCTCGGCCTCCCAAAGTGCTAGAATTACAGGCCTGAGCCACTGTGCCCGGCTTCCTAGATATTTTATTCTTTTGGAAGCTATTATGAATTAAAATGTTTTCTCCACTTCCTTTTCAGATTGATCACTGCTCGTATATAGAAACAACTGTGTGTTTGTGGTCTTGTACTCTGCAACTTTGCTAAACTTGTTAATTAGTTCAAATAGGGTTTTTTGCGGATTCATTGGGATTTTCTACATATAGAATCATGTCAGCTGTGAATAGAGATAGTTTTACTTCTTTGTTTCTAATCTGCATGTCTTTATTCATTTTTCTTGCCTAATTGCTCTGGCTAGAGCTTCCAGTACACTGTTGAATAGCAATGATGAAAATGAGCATTATCGTATTAATATATGATTTCAGGAGGAAAGCTTTCAGTCTTTCAGCACTGACTATCATAATAGCTATAGGTTTTTCATAGATGTCCTTTTTCATTTTGAGGAAGTTCTCTTATATTGCTAGTTTTATGAGTATTTTTATTATAAAAGGGTGTTGGTTTTGTTAAGTGCTTTTTCTGTGTCAAATGAGATGATCATATGGGGCTTTCCCTTTATTCTATTAATGTGATGTGTTACATTGATCACTTTTCTTAGGGTGAACCATTTCTACATTCTTGGGATAAATTCCACTGGTCATGGTGTAAAATATTTTTAATATGTTATAGGATCCAATTTGCCGGTATTTTGTTGAAGATTTTTATCATATTCATAAGAGATCTAGGTTTGTAGTTTTCTTTCCTCGTGGTATCTTTGGGTTTGGTATCAGGATAATCCTGACCTTATAGAATTTGATAGGAAGTGTTCTCTCCTGTGTTCTTTGGAGGAGTTTGAAAAAGATTGGTGTTATTCTTCCTTAAATGTTTTGTAGAATTCATAAGTTAAGCCATCTGGTTCTGAACTTTTCTTTGTTGGGAGATTTTTGATTACTGAATCTCTTTGCTTGTTACAGGCAGATTTTCTATTTTTTTTTGACTTAGTTTTGGTAAGTTATGTGTTTCCAGAAGTTTGTCTATTTCATCTTGGTTATCTGATTTGATGGCATACAATTGTTCATAGTGTTCTCTTATAATCCTTTTTATTTCTGTAAGGTTGGTAGTAATGTCTCCACATTTATTTCTGATTTTAACTATTTACATCTTCTTTCTTTTTTTCTCAGTCTCACTAAATGTTTGCCAAATTTTTAATTATTTCAAAGAATCAACTTTTGCTTTCATTTATTCTATCATTTTCCTATTTCATTTATCTTTATTTTAATCTTTATTATTTTATTCCTTCTGCTAGCTTTAGGTTTCGTTTGCTTTTCTTTTTTGAATTCCTCAAGGAATTCAGGCGGATCACCTGAGGTCAAGAGTTTGAGAACACTCTGGCCAACATGGTGAAACCCCGTCTCTACTAAAACTACAAAAATTAGCCGGGTGTGTTGGTGCACGAAGATAACTATTGATTTAAGATTATTTTTTAATGTAGGCATTCACAGCTATTTATAGCAGTAACTATTGCTTTTGTTCATCCCATAAGTTTTGGTATGCTGTGTTTTTATTATCATTCATCTCAAAGTAATGACTATTTTCCCTTGTGATTTCTGCTTTAACCCATTGATTATTTAAAAGTGAACTTTCCAACTTTCTTTCTGTTATTGATTTCTAGCTTTCTTCCATTGTGGTGAGAGAAAATATTTTGTATTGTTCTAATTTAAAAAAATGTATCACAACTTGTTTTGTAGCCTAACATTTAGTTAATCTTTAGAATGTTACATGGGCTCTTGAGGATAATATGTACTCTGCTATTGTTGGGTGGAGTGTTCCATATGTGGGTGTTAAGTTTAGTTGATTTATAGTATCGTTTAAGTCCTCTATCTCCTTAATGATGTTCTGTCTAGATGTTATAGTCATTACTGAAGGTGGTGCATTGTAGTCTCCAGTTTATTATATAAGACTATATATAAGGCAATCACTAAGTGCATGAATAGTGTTGCTAGCAGAGACTTTATGGGCAGCTAAAGAAAACTCAAAAGCATGAGCAAGAAATGTCTAATCCATTAAGGAAAAATTACTGTTATCTATCTCCTTATTTATCTGTCAATCCAAAAAATACATATCTGTTGCACATCTAGGAAGGACGGAGGGAGTGGGGTAAGAGGGGGAGACAGAGAGAGTTGGAGGAAGAGAGAGGAAGAGAATTCCATTTTGCTTTCTATTTCAAAATAGACCTTCGTGTCCATCTCTCCAGAAAACAGAGCCTACAGCTCCTCAACAAAGAAGTTAATTCTTGTTTTATCACCTCTAACAGCTGAGGTCATGATGATTTCAGGATGATTTGAAAGATTTTCAATGGCAAATTTGGATATTACTACCATTTGCTTACTCACTTTGGAACTTAACAATCTTGTGAAAAGCAATCTGACAGTAATTCATTAATATTTAAGGACTATGTTGTATAAAAAAATACATATCTTTAAACATTGTCACATTTGACTTGGTGAAATACTCAGGCTGTGAGAGACCTACAAGATCCAAGACCAACTGAGGAAACAGATTTAAGTCTTTCCTCTAAGGCTCACTCCAGTAGTTACACTTACCAATTAGATTAAATTTTCGTTTCTGTGTGATTTTTTTCTTTTTTTCTTCTCCTTGGCTTTCTCTTTCTCCCTCCCTTCTGTCCTTTCTTCCTTCCTTCCTTTGAATTAGTAACTCCACACCACGTGTAGGCGTAACAGTATCATATTTTGGTCACCAGTTCAAATCATATACTGCAGCCTGTAGTCCTGTAATCCATCTTCAAAGAGTTCCCTCCAAGTTTGCTCCATAGTTGGGTCTTCCATAAACATTCCGCCTTTTTATAAGCCAACTACTTTGGGATAACAAGAGATATGGTAAAACCAGTGAATCTCATGATGTTGCCTTGCTTCTTATCTTTGAATTGAGCCTTCGTCAGAGGTAATGCTGAGTAGAAGGACATAATAGTGAACAGAATTCATTGCTGGAAATAGAAGACAGAAGACAAGTGGAACATGATACATCTAATTACTTATTCTCAAATGTCTTGCTTCCTATCCATCCAATAGTAATTTATAGTTTTATTATCAAAACGTATTCTGTGAAAATATAACTGTTGGCAAGGATGTGGAGAACAGGGAACACTTGTATAATATTGATGGGAATGTAAATTACTATAGTCATTATGGAAAACAGTATGGAGGTTCCTCAAGAAACTAAAAATAGAACTACCATATGATCCACTGATCCCACTTTTGGGTATTTACCTAGAAGATTTGGAAGGAGCATGTCAAAGAGATGTCTGCACTTGCATGTTTGCTGCAGCACTGTTCACAATAGCCAAGATAAGGAATCTAACTAAGTGTCCATTAACAGGTGAATGGATAAAGAAAATGTGTACATATGCACAAAATGGTACTATTCAGCCTTTGAAAAGAAAGAAATTGTCATTTGCAACAACATAGATGGAATTAGAGAACATTTTGCTAACTGAAATAAGCCAGGCACAGAAAGACAAATGCTGCATGTTCTCATTTATATGTGGAATCTAAGATGATCGAACTCATAGAAGCAGAGAATAGAATGGTGGTTACCAGAGACTGGAGGATGGAGGAATGGGGAGATGATGGTCAAAGGGCACAAAGCCTCAGTGAGACAAGAGGAATAAATTTTTTTAGATTTATTGCACAAAACATAGTGGATATAGTTAATAATAGCGTATTGTACATTTCAAAACTGCTGAGAGTACATTTCAAATGTTCTCACCACAAAAATCACAAGTATGTGAGGTGATGGATGTTAATTAGCTTGATTTAATTATTCAACGTTGCATTCATATATCATAACATCGCTTTGTGTCCCATAAATATGCACAACTATAATTTGTCAATTTACAATAATTTTTTTTAAGTTTAAAAAAATGTCTTCTGTGGACCAGCAGCCGCAGTGTTATCTGAGAGCTTGTGTAATATGTAAGTTCTCAGACCACAACCCAGGCCTACTGAATCAAAAACTCTGGGAGTGGGTTTTAAAAATCTGTGTTTTAACAAGTTCTCCAGGCGATTCTGATGTTCACTAAAGTTTGAGAAGCAATAATTTAGTTTTAGTGCTTAAAGGAAGAGTGCGTCCACCAGGGGGCACAGCAATGGTTCCACTGGGTTGAAAGATAAGATTACCGCATTGTCATGTTCCTCATGCTTTGTGGATAGGATTTTCTTTCTTTCTCTCTCTCTCTTTCTTTCTTTCTTTCTTTCTCTCTCTCTCTCTTTCTTTCTTTAATTTTACTTTAAGTTCTGGGATACATGTGCAGAACCTGCAGGTTTGTTACATAGGTATACATGTGCCATAGTGGTTTGCTGCACTCATCAACCCATCATCTAGGTTTTAAGCCCCACATGCATTCGGTATTTGTCCTAATGCTCTCCATCCCCTTGCCCCCCACTCCCTGACAGGCCCCAGTGTGAGATGTTCCCCTCCCTGTGTCCATGTGTTCTCACTGTTCAACTCCCACTTATGAGTGAGAACATGTGGTGTTTGGTTTTCTGTTGCTGTGTTAATTTGCTGAGAATGATGGCTTCTAGTTTCATCCATGTTCCTGTAAAGGATGTGAACTCATTCCTTTTCTTTTTTTTAATATATATATTTTTATTATACTTTCAGTTCTAGAGTACATGTGCACAATGTGCAGGTTTGTTACATATGTACACATGTGCCATGTTCGTGTGCTGCACCCATTAACTCGTCATTTAACACTAGGTATATCTCCTAATGCTACCCCTCCCCACTCCCCCACCCCACAACAGACTCCAGTGTGTGATGTTCCCCTTCCTGTGTCCAAGTGTTCTCATTGTTCAGTTCCTACCTATGAGTGACAACATGCGGTGTTTGGTTTTTTGTCCTTGCGATAGTTTGCTGAGAATGATGGTTTCCAGCTTCATCCATGTCCCTACAAAGGACATGAACTCATCATTTTTTATGGCTGCATAGTATTCCATGGTGTATATGTGCCACATTTTCTTTTTCTTTATTTTTTATAGCAGGATATGACTTTTTTTTTATTATACTTTAAGTTTTAGGGTACATGTGCACAACGTGCAGGTTTGTTACATATGTATACATGTGCCATGTTGGTGTGCCTGCACCCATTAACTCGTCATTTACATTAGGTATTTCTCCTAATGCTATCCCTCCCCCCTCCTACCACCCCACGACAGGCCCCAGTGTGTGATGTTCCCCACCCTGTGTCCAAGTGTGCTCATTGTTCAATTCCCACCTATGAGTGAGAACATGCAGTGTTTGGTTTTCTGTCCTTGCGACAGTTTGCTCAGAATGATGGTTTCCAGCTTCATCCATGTCTCTACAAAGGACATGAACTCATCATTTTTTATGGCTGCATAGTATTCCATGGTGTATATGTGCCATATTTTCTTAATCCAGTCTATCATTGTTGGACATTTGGGTTGGTTGCAAGTCTTTACTATTGTGAATAGTGCCGCAATAAACATACGTGTGCATGTGTCTTTATAGCAGCATGATTTATATTCCTTTGGGTATATACCCAGTAATGGCATGGCTGGGTCAAATGGTATTTCTAGTTCTAGATCCCTGAGGAATCACCACACTGACTTCCACAATGGTTGAACTAGTTTACAGTCCCACCAACAGTGTAAAAGTGTTCCTATTTCTCCACATCTTCTCCAGCACCTGTTGTTTCCTGACTTTGTAATGATTGCCATTCTAACTGGTGTGAGATGGTATCTCATTGTGGTTTTGATTTGCATTTCTCTGATGGCCAGTGATGATGAGCATTTTTTCATGTGTCTTTTGGCTGCATAAATGTCTTCTTTTGAGAAGTGTCTATTCATATCCTTCACCCACTTTTTGATGGGGTTGTTTGTTTTTTTCTTGTAAATTTGTTTGAGTTCTTTGTAGATTCTGGATATTAGCCCTTTGTCAGATGAGTAGATTGCAAAAATTTTCTTCCATTCTGTAGGTTGCCTCTGATGGTTCTGTAGGTTCACTCTGATGGTAGTTTCTTTTGCTGTGCAGAAGCTCTTTAGTTTAATTAGATCCCATTTGTCAATTTTGGCTTTTGTTGCCATTGCTTTTGGTGTTTTAGACATGAAGTCCTTGCCCATGCCTATGTCCTGAATGGTATTGCCTAGGTTTTCTTCTAGGGTTTTTATGGTTTTAGGTCTCACATTTAAGTCTTCAATCCATCTTGAATTAATTTTTGTATAAGGTGTAAGGAAGGAGTCCAGTTTCAGCTTTCTACATATGGCTAGCCAGTTTTCCCAGCACCATTTATTAAATAGGGAATCCTTTTCCTCATTTCTTGTTTTTGTCAGGTTTGTCAAAGATCAGGTAGTTGTAGAAGTGTGGCGTTATTTCTGAGGGCTCTGTTCTGTTCCATTGGTCTATATCTCCCTTTTGGTACCAGTACCATGCTGTTTTGGTTACTGTAGCCTTGTAGTATAGTTTGAAGTCAGGTAGTGTGATGCCTCCAGCTTTGCTCTTTTGGCTTAGGATTGACTTGGCAATGTGGGCTCTTTTTTGGTTCCGTATGAACTTTAACTAGTTTTTTCCAATTCTGTGAAGAAAGTCATTGGTAGCTTGATGGGGATGGCATTGAATCTATAAATTACTTTTGGCAGTATGGCCATTTTCATCATATTCATTCTTCCTATCCATGAGCATGGAATGTTCTTCCATTTGTTTGTATCCTCTTTTATTTCGTTGAGCAGTGGTTTGTAGTTCTTCTTGAAGAGGTCCTTCACATCCCTTGTAAGTTGGATTCCTAGGTACTTTATTCTCTTCGAAGCAATTGTGAATGGGAGTTCACCCATGTTTTGGCTCGCTTTTTGTCTGTTATTGATGTATAAGAATGCTTGTGATTTTTGCACATTGATTTTGTATCCTGAGACTTTGCTGAAGTTGCTTATCAGCTTAAGGAGATTTTGGGCTCAGATGGTGGGATTTTCTAGATATACAGTCATGTCATCTGCAAACAGGGACAATTTGACTTCCTCTTTTCCTAATTGAATACCCTTTATTTCCTTCTCCTGCCTGATGGCCCTGGCCAGAACTTCCAACACTATGCTGAATAGGAGTGGTGAGAGAGGGCATCCCTGTCTTTTGCCAGTTTTCAAAGAGAATGCTTCCAGTTTTTGCCCATTCAGTATGATATTGGCTGTGGGTTTGTCATAAACAGCTCTTATCATTTTGAGATACGTCCCATCAATACCTAATTTATTGAGAGTTTTTA